>NC_000014.9:32338985-32642016 GCF_000001405.40 Homo sapiens | reverse complement strand
AATGATGTTATACTTTTGGAAAAATAATGTTAACAGTCTTTTTCCTTTAAGATATCTTCATGTATTTGCCGAGTTGCCATTTCCAAATCTCTAGTCACTGAGAACATTTTCAAAAACAACTTCTAGCATAAGAATATTCATTTTTTTCTCTTTCCACATTAAAATGCAATCCCCTAAAAACGTGTTCCCCTCCCCCATTTTCCTTAGATGGAATTTTTGTACCCATTCTTCACAATTTTATCAAGGAAATACCTAAAAATTACACCATTTTTAGTTTCCTCAAATAAACTGGCCTTTCCTTAAGTTCCAATTGTAGCTCTTGTTATTTCTCTCAGGGTAAAATTTAGGGACCACATGAAATTCAACCAGTCTCCATCACCAGTCTTCAAGGATTGTCCTCTGGAAGCCATTGTTTCTGTTCATTGCTCTTAGAAACAAGCCCAAATCTTAAGTCCAATAGACTTAGTTAACATAAGTCCTTCAGCTTTACTTAAAAAACAGCAAGAAAATTTCTTTTCTTTTCTTTTCTTTTTTTTTTTTTTTTTTTAGCAGGGTTTCACTATTTTGCCCAGGCTGGTCTTGAACTCCTGAGCTCTGGCAATCCTCCCATCTCGGCCTCTCAAAGTGCTGGGATTACAGGTGTGAGCCACCACACCCAGTCAAAATTTTCTTTTTCTTTGGCTAAAAGGTCCTAGTTTTCTGATTTCCTTTCTTGTATTGTATATTATTGTATATTCCACTTCTTCCATTTATATAATTTGCATTCTTCTTTTGCTTTCAGTTCTACCCTCTGAACACTAAGCATACCAGATTTAATCAAATGCACACCTGATTACTCATTACCATCATAGATGGAGAATGGGCATGTTTTTATCAGTCCCAAAACATTTTCAGTGAAAAAAAAATTCACAACGACCTTCCAGAGAGTAGAAGAGCAGTAATCTATTTCTCCTGCAGTCTCATTAAATATGGTATCCATGATGTGCCTTGAAAGAAATCTGAGGATTCTCTAGGTGGTACATCCAATTGCAGTAGTTTATGAAAACACATCACCAAAAGGTCATCAAAGGGAAATGGCAGCAGCTAATGATTCCTCACTTATGTATTTTACATCTTCAGACTTTTGTTTGTATATTTCTTTGTTTGTACATTTTTGTTTGCATATTTCTGTAACAGAGTCCTATGCTACTATTACACAGATTCTCAGTAGTATTTCTGTGTCATTTCTGAATCACATTCTTTGAAGCTTAGCATTCATAAGATTTAGAACCTTGATCTCTTTGGAGTATAAAAGGATATCAGAATATACTACTGGAGGTACCTAAGATTCTCAGTCAATCGAGGGTTATCTGTAAGGGCTAATGTGAGCACAGGCAAGAGCAAGTTGGTCTCTATTTACAATGTGAGGCATGTTGAATAACTGGCTTATTTTAAGAATTGATTACAACAGGTGTTTACATTTGCATTTTATTTACATAGACATTTATCAATTGTTACAAAAGAAAATTGTTTACTTTCATTTCCTTAAAATATGAGAATAAAAGACACGTTGAGAAGAAAATTGGCAGATCATGGACCCCAAAAAGAAATAACAGAACTCATTCCTCTCTAGGGCCTAAATCAAAGCTCTGGAGTGATTTTAAAATGTTTTTAAAATGCTTTTTAAAAATGATTTAATATAGTGAGTTGAGATACATTACATTAGATATAATTAGACCTAGACAGGAAAGGTGGTTCTGAGAAGCTAATGAAATATCATTAAGGTTGAATATAAGATTGTTGATTAGGATAAAGCTAATCCTGATTAGGATAAACAAGATAGGAGCTACAGATCTTATTTTTCCTCTTATTTATTTTATGAGTGAAGAAGAGGTGTGCTATCTTGCCTTTATTGAAAATAAAAAAAATGAAGAATATTATTTTTTGTATTCTGTTAAAATACTCTACCATAATAATGTCTTTTCCATTTTATTTCTGGGAAGGCATTTGCCTTGAGATGTATCTATATTAAGGTAAAATATATTAACAAAAATGGAGTTTACTTGCTGTGTATTTTGCCTTCAGAGTGAAGAACTACAAGGCCCCAAGCAATCTGGCTGCTCCTTCCATCCCAAATCTCACCCCACACCCAGTCCTACTTGCACTCTCTTCCAGTGCCATGGTCTTTCTCCAGTTTCATAATCACTAATACTCTTTCAGCCTGAAGACATTTTCAGTCCGCAGCCCCTTTCCCTGTTTAATGTCTAATCATTGTTTAGATCTTCCATTTTGCTTCCTTGGTGAACACTTGCCTAACCTCCCTGAGTGGATCAAATTAACTACTAGTTCTTCTAACACTTTGGACTTCTCCCTTGTGGTATTTTTCACAGGTGCAATTTTTTGTTTATTTGTGAAAATGTGATTACACTCTATCTTCCTCAAGCCTCATGAGGGGACAAATCCTGTCTGGTTTTGCTCACTATTGTTTCCACAAAAGCTTGGTGTGATTTCCAGCACATAGAAGATACTCAATGAACCCTTGACAACTGAATGAATAAATACACATATGAATGATTCTTTTTATTGGGATTGTTGTGCTATATAGACACATTTCACTTACTGTCACCCCAATAGTGCTAAATAGACAATTAATCATTAGCTCTTGTCTTGAGATAGATGAAGATGGCTATAGCATCCTTCCTCTAAAAATCTGACATATACTTGAAACCTTCTATTCTCTGAGAACAAATATCTCTATTCTTTAAGCACATATCAATGATTAGCCACAAACCATAAGTTCACGTACATTCATGCAAAAACAACGCAGATACTTCTGAATCATCTATAACTCCTTTAATCATCTTCAGGGCTTATTCCTAAGTGTTAATGGGTCATAACATTAGTGTGAACCACTCAATAGCAATAGCATTTAAATATCATATATTGTTTGTATGTCAATTATCCATGCTGTTGAAAGAAAACCAAAGTAAATCCTATATATATATGAAGTCACCTAGATTTTGAAATTTAGGAAGTGTTATTGCTATCTCAGAACCAAAATTCCCACTAAAACACACTAATTCATAAAGCATTTCATATTCTTTGTTTTTCCCCTATACTTCCATAAGATATCATTCATTCCCTCATTTTAGTCTATGTTTTTCTGGCATTATAGTTATATTATGTTGTATATTATAGTTATATATATTATGAATATTAACAAGTCTGTTTTCTTATCTATAACAATCTTAGGAGTAGGAACCAGGTTCTGTTCATTCTATACCACCCTTTACCCTCTACCCTACCAACAACCAAGAACAGTGCTTTGGTAGTTAAAACTCAATATATGTGTCTTATATGGAAAGGAGGAGAAAAAGAGAGGGAAAGAGAAAGAAAAAAAGAAAGAAAAGCGGTCTTCCTACTTATAATACCATTTTGTTTGGATCAGGCCATTAGATAATATCAACTTTTGCAGCAGTTATTTAACAAAAACAATTTTTTAAGGTTTCATGACAATATGCAATCATCTCCTGATTGTATGCTCATTTCTTCTCACTATTTCTCTCCCTCAAATATCTGGCTGAAATGCTAATACACGGTGAAATAGGAAAAACACTGGAAGCAGAAGAGAAAAAGAAACAAAACACTGGCATACAAAATAGAGTTGAATATATTGTCCGTTAGGCCACAGGCTGCTGACATTCTCCAGTGCCTCTGCCCTTATCAGAATGGAAGTTTGGGACCAGTTAACTCTACTATGCCTCTCATCCTTGCCGGTCTTCATCAGTACTCAAAGAGAGAGACCTTCTTATGTCTTTTCACTTACTCTCACCCAAGTAGTGCTCCCAGCTCATATTCCCCCTTGACATCCCCACTAGCCCTTTCCTTAGATGTAGAGGCTGCTCGGTCTTCCTCTCTCCACTCACCATAATATGCACAAGACAGTCAGTCTTTGTGTTCTTATAGCCTTTTCCAAGCCACTGTTTCTTTACCCTAATTTAAAAATATGTCCTTTGAAACTCATACTGAGTGTCTCTGTGTGACTCACTACTGGATTCATTGGTTGAAGATTATGGCACTTGCCCTGGGATCTTTGTTTCTCCCTCCTCCACCCACTCCCATTCTGCTTCCGACAATTCCAGTGTAAGTGATATTGATTCTTCCCACATCCCAGTTTCTTGGCTTCCTCAGTTCCGATGACCTACACCATTCTGCAATCAACTCCCATTATCATATTTTTGCCATATCTAGAATGTAAACTCCCATGTCCCACACTGTAACTACAAACTGATTCTCCCAACTCCCACTCTCCACCCTCATCTCATTGTTAATGCACTTATTCTTTCCAGACAGGTCCTAAGTAACTCTAATCCCTGCCTCTATATCAGCTCTCTTCTGCATTCCTGTTTTTTCAACTTAGATCTCATGGTTCATTATACCAATCTACCCCTTGTCACTACTTCTGGACTCTTGACTTGATTGCACATAGTCTTATATGTTACAAATACCCCAAAACAAAAACAAAAATAAAATAACAAAAAAACTTATCAAACATCTCCCTTTGGCTATGATATTATTTTCCTCCTTCCCTTCACAGTTAAATATCTTGTTAGAGTCATCTATCTTTTCTATAATTCTTCACTCTAAATTTTATTCCTGAACCTGCTACAATCTGGCTTCTGGCCTTCAGAATCAATCCTTCCTCTAAAATTACCTATCTCAGAATATAATGCTATTCACTCATTACTTCTTCAACAGCCTGCGCTGACTACATTCTTGCTTTCTTCCCATCAGTTACCCCATTCTGCTGATGTATTATGACATATCATAAGCTAATATTTATGAAATGTATTCTACGTACTAGGCCCTATGTTAAGTGGTGCTTTACATTTAATCCTTCCAACACAACCTATGGAGTACACAGTAGGAATAGTATTCCCATTTTACAGATACGGAAATTATAAATAGAGATGATAGGCTAGGCCAAGGACTTTTTACCTCCCTAACATCTCTTGGATCCATCCTGTCTTCTCTATATTGTCAGCGTTACTGCTTTGAGGCTCCACCTTCTCACTGCCTTCCCTGACTCCATTTTGTGTCCCCCAACCATCCTCTGCACTGCTGTTAGAGACCCCTCTAAATTGCACAGCTGATCATGCCACCCCCTGCTTAAGTACCTTCACAAGTGCCTCTTAACTATCAGTGGTGTCACACAAGTCCGTTCACAGTCTGCTCCTCTCTTGCCTCCTGGCCTCATCTTATGCCACTTACTCCTACTCCTACAGCCCAGTGGAATTACTTATTGTTTTCCTGCTAGTGTCATGCTGAACACTTTCTGAAGGCATTTTCACCTGACTAATTTTTATTCATTCTTTAAAATTTGATTCCAGCACACCCTTTCAGAAAGCTATGTGATTCCCAGTGTAGACATCCTTCTCTACCATTATGACTTACCACACTGCACTCACAGCACAGAGCTATATGTCACTCTCTCACACTCAGCTATGAGTAACTGTAGGGCTAGCAGGAACTTTCCCATCTTTGAACCACGAATGCCACTCTCAGCACCTATCTATATAGAAGAACTCGAATATTTACTTCTCAATCTCATCTAATTTAGCTGCCTTGATTTAAACTCACACATCAAAATAATGTTTTTCAAAATCTATCATACACCTAAGGAAATTTAAAAAGTAATTTTCCGGTACAACAAATTATGTTTTGATAAGTTAACATTCCTAATGAAGACAGCACCCATGAATCTGGAGTAAAACAGACATCATTTGCTTGTTCTGATGGGCAAGCAATTTGATTGCCAGCAATTATGTTGTATATGTATAGATGTTTCTGCACATGTACCATTTGCTGCATTTCAAAATCTGTTATTTTTAAAGGTATAGATTTTTGGTTTAAAATGTATAATAGGGAGCACGTTTATTTTAACTAATTTTAAAAATAAGTGCAAAACATTTCTGGGCAAAATACAAAGTCCTTACAAATACTAGTCTATATACAACTGGGAGAAGAGACCACTATTTGCATGTAAATCAGTAAGCTTAATAGTGGATTTCAGTCTCTTGAGAACTATCTAACATAAAGCAATGAATAAATTGAATGGTGCTGCACTGCTCTGACAAAAGCTAATAAACATGGCTTTATAATATCCTATTCTTTGAAGTAATCTTCTCTTCTACCATTATTTGGTTTAACCTATATATTCCTACAACCTTCACACATAGATTCATACTTTTAAAAAATAAGTTACAATTAATCACTCATTTTCAACATTCTTTATGTGTTTATTAAAATATGTCCATTGAACACATAATTTTCTCATAAAAATGTTCAACATTCTTTTCTCCCACTATAATTATCAATTACCTTGAACATATCCACTGTCTATTTTTACCAGTGTTATTTCAGTCAGATTTTGTGGTAATTCATTAATCTAATCTAGCTACAACAGTAGCTCCCAGCTCTAGGACAGCTTCCTAGCCACAGCTAAATAAATAAATGAGTTCTCTGTTGAGGGTAGTACTTTCTAAAATTACTTTCGATTTCATAATTACAGATGGATCAGTGATATGCTTGTATCATGTGATCCTTTCTTTTTAGTGATTGATACAAATTAGAATGGACAATAAAATATCCATATGGAGCCCCAGTTACTTATTTTGTCCATAACTTATGTAGATGTTAATCCCTGAAGCAAGGATTTTTACTCTAACTATGACTCATACAGCAAGCTTTTCGTAATTCCCTGTTCTTCACAGTTGCATAGAATTGGCAAGCTGCTTTTCCTTGCTCCTATTCCCCTACTAAAATAAATTGATTCCCAGAGTTTCCTGGAAAAGCTGTAATTTTATTTTCCAATCTGAAAATAATTAATAAAGTACTCAGCAGTGGGTCTCAAATAATACAACTTGACCTTGGCAGAACATACACTTTATTTAGCTAGGAATGATCTTCTCTTTCAAAATTCCCCTGATTAAACTCAGCAATACTGAGGGTCACTCTTGAGTTTACACTGAAAACTAACCCCATGATGGGTACACCAAAATCTCAGAAAGCGCCGCTAAAGAACTTACTCATGTAACTAATCACCACCCGTTCCCCAAAAACTTATTGAAATAAAAAAATTAAAAATTAAAAAAAAAGAAAAGAAAACTAATCCCAGTACAAGCCTCACTTAATATGTTTTTATCTTAACACCAAACCTCTTGTTATAACTACAGGATTCTTTCAAATTTTAGGTCTATTTAGGAAAAGACTTGGATGACATGACAGATGTCAACAATTTTCAGAGCTGCTTAAAAGTAATATTCTATTAAAACTATGGCCATTTCTGCACTGACTGCACCCCTACTCCCTATCACCACCCCTCCAAAAAAATAACTGGCTCTCAAAATGAATAACCTCAACAGGGTAAATATTATCGATTAATTAGACTGGATAGCCATGATGTCCTCAGCCTATAGGATACAGAGTAGGTTTAACTCACTGTTTGCCTTCAAGAAGATTAGAACCAGGGATAGCCTAATTCACAGGAAACAACAATGAGAAAGTAAAAGACACTATCAAAAAAATTGTAAGGGAAGACTTCATAGAGAAATAAACTTTGAACTCAAAGTTGAAGTTTGGTTAGGATTGAGATAAGTCAGAAGGCAAAAAAGCATTCCAGATAAAAGCAACAACCAGTTATCACTTCTTGAGCATTTACTATGAGACAGGTACCACACTAAGCATTTTATATGCCTAACATCAGTTAATATTATAGCCCTGTGAGTTGGGTACTCTTATTATCCTTCTTGAATTATCCAATTTTAAGGAAATTGAAGCTTAGATAGGTTGAGTAACTTGTTCAAGGTTACCCAGCTAGTTGGCACTGGGACCTGGGTTCAGTCCCAGGCTGAATCCAGAAGCTAGTTTTAACCACTGTATTCTACTGCTCTAAGCAGATGTGTAGAGATTGTGAGACAATGAGGAAACTGGCTCAACTAGTGATGGAGGCTGTGTGGAGTAAAAACAGAAAATAAGTTTGACACAGAAATTAGACTATAGGCTTGCCTTGGAAATAGACAAGTTTCACATTTAAAATAAGGAGCCATGGAAGATTTGTAAGCTTCCTTATTTGTGACACGAACGATATTGGAGGAAGACTTAGAGATGGGAGACATGAAGAAGTGCAGCCTGGTTTGCTGAGGTTGGGGAAACACATGGTCAAGCCTTTGGTTATTGTATTTGGTAGGCTTTGCTGCAGTAACAACCCTCCAATGTTAGAGGCATAGGAAAGCAAATGTTTACTTCTCACTTACATTACATGCCTGCTTAGGATGGCTGTGAGTGGGTTGCGGGTTTTCTCTATCTGTCTTCATTCTTCATTCCTGGATGCAGCTCCTATTTGGATATGCTATTCTTGTGTCAGAAGGAAAAGAGCCAGAGAGCTAGCGGAGACATGCAATGGCTCCTAAAGCATCTGCTCACTTACCATTGTCCAAAGCTCATACCAGCCAAGCTAAAAGTTGATGGGGCAGGGGTGCATCCTCCTCCACAGGAGGCCTGCAAGTCACATGGTAATAGACAGGGGTGTATAATCCTCTTACAGAAAAGGGGAGTGAATCATGGGAACAACAATGCAATCTACCAGAGTAACCCTGTGCTTTTTGCAGATGCTGTCACTATAAATTAAAGCAACAGACCAAAATGAGTAAACTTCGTAGAAGGGGATGAAATCTCTTGTTTTGCCTGGATAGAGGGCTCTGTCCTAAAGAGAACAACTACTGTTCTATTTCCATATTTTCTGATGTAAAAGCCTTATGCTGTATGATTTTATCATTTTGTGCTTAAAAATCTGTCAAAGACTGAAATGTGAATCAAAGACAGTTTATATGAATTGATGAGGTGGATATGAATCCTTTATACTGTTTCATTACAATTAAAATGAAATTAAATTAGAAAAAAGTAAACAGAGAAAAGACCCAGTTAACATGTGTCCATACTTTCTTGATTTTTCTATCCTAGATAGCATTACATTTAGAATGATTTTACTTGCTGATTCTTTGTGGCTGCTGATCCGATAAATTATTCCAGTCTCATACAAAATATATGTGATACAAATGAGTGATAGTTAAGAATCAACTAATCTAACCACATTTTGGTACAAACAAGTTACCCCCAAATATGCAAATGATTAAATCAAATAAAAATGATGTTCTTAGAAAGTCATTTCCAAGCCTTTCTTTGGAATTTTTTAAAACATATAAAGCTAGAGTCTGAATCTTAGCTTTATGCTCTCTGATTGGTTTTTCCTGTCCCAGTCTCTTGCCCCTGCTCGTCATTTATAGCTTTCAAGTCCTTTCCAAAAGGTCAGTGTTTCTATGGTCCAAAGCCCAGATTTTTGATCCCCTTTTCAGTTCCCCATCAAGCTCTCCTGTTTGGATTCTTGGATATAGATGCACATCTCTGCAAATTTATCATTTCCTCTGAGCATAAAGTTTGCTGATACTAGAACATTCTCTTTAAAGATTAATTTTGCCTGACATTTAATTAGAAAATGGTCTCTCTTCTTTCTTGCAATCCTACAAAATATTTTATAGGAGAAGCCCAAGTTCTCCCATGACACAAAACTTGAAAGTCTAGGGAAGACAACATATTAGGATGTATGGTAGGCATTAAATACTTAATAAACATTCATAGAATAAATGATTAGACAAAGGCTAAATGAATTGACTGATCATTCCAGCAGTTAAGATCCCCCTATACAGCAAGAGCTCCTAAACTTTTATATAAAGGCAATTAAAAATAATTCGACATATGTTTTTCACATAAGATGCTCACTAAATATTTGTTATTGTTTACCTGGACAAGAAAGGAAAAGTATAGTAAATGGTTCATAGCAAAACAGACATCCCAGTTACAACATCACTTCCTAACCTCCCTCATTAAAAACAAAAAACAAACAAACAGACAAACAAAACACCAAAAAATGTTTATAAGCCTTGAGGGAAAAGAATGAATATACTGCTGAAAATCCTAACATTGGGAAGAGAAAGTTGTCTCACGTCCATCTTCTAAAATGCCTTTTCCTAAAACTCTGTAGAATGCTAATACAATGTCATCAAGGTCCAAAAAGCCTTCTTTGGTATTATAATGATCTACTACATGTCACCATGCTTATGAAAGAACATTAACAACTCACAGCCTAACCACATCCAGAGTGTATTATATTTGCTTTCTTAAGACCTTTACCTAAATTGACAATCAAAATGTTGTTGTAAATTTTAAAATCATTTTAAACATCTCATTTACGTGGCAACTTCAACAGCTTATTCTAAGGCTACTTTCTGCAGAGTAACTCAACTAGCATCATGAGCTACATCTTACTGGTAAAATGCTATAGTGCTGGGTTCAATCATAGCAAAGAAATCTGAAGCACTGGAAGAATATAAATAGAATCCAATCTCTGTATGCGGTAATTACTGCTCTCAAGAGATCAATAAATGTATTTCTCCTGGTTTTGTACAACTACACAACTGTAATATCCAGTGTTTACTAACTTTCTTGCCATATTTGTAAAACCTATTTAAAATATAACCAATCTCAGCCTTAAAAAATTATAAACTATTCAATCATGAAATCCAATCAGGAAATCATAAAGTTTCCAAGAAGGCATTCTGGAAAGTGGAAAATCGATAAATATAAAACCTGTCATTATAACATCATGAGTTTGTTTGCATAAGCACAGAAGTGGTGCTAATCTTAATCTTACACACAGGGTGCTAATCTTAATCTTATATACGGGGCGCTCAAAGAATAATTTTTTAAAAATAACATGGTAAACAACAGATGAGGTATTTCATATGCCATATGAAATTTTAGTAAAATAAATATGAGAACAAATCTCTCAAACAAAACAAAATGTTATTTGTGGAAAATGAGACATGGAAAGTATATTTCTTAATAAAAATATGAAGTATAAAATATCTTGATCTAATTTAAATCTCTCCATGTAATCTGTGAATTTTTAAAAATTCAACAAAACTATTAGCAGTAGAAAGAAAGACCAGAAGGATCTTCAGAATGCTACATCAGAATGCTGTAATGGCTACAAAAGAAGCCAGAAGAATATCTGCTGACTACATCAGAATGTTAGCCAACCTTGTCATTTGGTGGTAAGATAGTTGTGATTTTATTTATTTTGTATTATTTTCTGTACTTTCCAGGTTTTCTTCAATGAGCATCTATTACTATTAATATCATAAAGAAAAATAAATTATTTAAAACATTAAAAGAACTAACCCCTTTGTATCAGGAAAGGGTTACATTGTTACATAGACTTTACACATGCCATGTAGAAGGGCTTACCTACCCTTTACCTCAAATTTCAAAGAACATTAGAGGCTCGCATAACAGGTTATAATTTCACTTCTGTTGGGATCATTGCTTGCTTCTAAGTCCTAGCAGGTGACAGCCTTGATAGGAATTTTTTCTCTCTGGTCCAAAAGTATCTCCTTTTTTCCCCTGAACTACTGTAAAAATTATTGCAAAATGTCTTGGAAAATAAAATCAATGCTGATACCCAATTCCATTGCATTAAAAAGTTTTTCATCAAATTCTACAAGTAATGCATTATATTGCCTTTTTTTCCTTACAATAGCAACATGTGGTAATTTCCAACATACTGTTATTATAGTTGAAAAAAAATCTTGCATTCTCTAATGTTGAACAATCAAATAAGCTGCTTATATTCTAACTGGGACTTTATTTCTAATTCCAATTTAAAGATGGTTTGAAGTAAATGAAGTGGGCCTATGAAATAAGATCTTCTCAAAGCCCAAGTTTAAGATGAAATGAGATCTTCAATTAAAACGTCTACGTGTTAAATTGTGACAACTTATTTAATGGGAACAAGAAGAGGCAGTTGAGAGCTGGTACTTTGGCCTGTACACTGGAGAAGAAAAATTCACACACCAGAATACATTTCCAGATCCCACACAGAAATGGTCATTTAAACCCAGCTATTGGGAGGCAGTTTTCTTTTCCTCTCATAATGAGGTCATTCCAAACTAACGCTTTAGTAAGTCAATGAATTATGGCAGAGTATTATCATTCTTTTTTAAAAAAATTTAATTTTCTGTAGAGACAGGGTCTTGCTTGTTGCCCAGGCCGGTCCTGGCCTCAAGAGATCCTCCTGCCTCAGCCTCTCAAAGTGTTCAGATTACAGGCATGAGCCACTGTGCCCGGCCAGAGTATTCTCATTCTTATAAAAGACATAATTTCAAGTCACACTGAAGTATTGAGTTATATTTAAAAATCCAGGTTCTAGTTCTTCTGGCTTCCTGACCAAAAAAAAAAAAAAAATGCTTATATGCAATTAGCTTCACTTGAACTTCTCATAATCTTACTTGTACATTCTCTTACTAGCAACAAAGCTTAGGGTTGGCCCCTCACATTTATAAGAGAGACCCACTTACAGCTGAGCATCCACAGATGTGTGGCTAGTTCAAGCGCCCAGTTCTACAGGCTCTTGGGGGAAAATATACTCAAATGGCTTTCACATTGTGGAAAAAAAAAAAAAAACATGACTGCCTTCTTTCTTTTTCTTTCCTTTTTTTTTTTTTTTTTTGAGAAACTCGCACTTCAGCAAAACACATTGTTATGCTGTGTTATGATGCATGATGTTTTCATAGTAATGTGACACGTTTAAATGACAAAATGCTGGCTATCTACCAAAAATGTAAAATAGCTTAAGTTCTTTTCCAAAGGAAAAAAGGCCATTATCAATTCTTCTAGCAAATATCTTTGCTGTAAATGGCAGCCAACCAACTTAACAGCGAATCTTCATAAAGTTTATGATTACAAAGAAACAAAGGGTTTTAGGTATGGACGATTTTGTTTATGAAATTGTTCACTACCCCAGCTCCTTCCTTGTTGGCTCACAGAGGTAAAATTATGAACCTCGAAATTATCTTTCTTTTGTTCCTGGAGGAGTAGTAATAGAAGATTCCCTCCTCAAACGGCACATCCCTCCCATTTCTCTAAGAGATCTGACTGCAGGTGGGTGGTTATTTTTATTTAGAAAACAGCTTATTTATAAATCACGAATGGTAAAGTTCTGGCATTAACTTTCATTTTTATTTGGCTTAACTTAAATATTTTAACAAAGTGTTCATTTTATTCTGACTTTTCACAGATACTGCTACCTTAATAGAAACAGCAACACACAGATGTGTTTAATTTTTAGGAAAGATAACATTCCTTAAAATTTAGAGAAAAAAAAATCTGGTGTTTTGGACTTTTTTTCTATTTCCATTGAGTTGCAGAGAAAGGAAAAAAGGAAGGAAGAGAAAAAGGGAGGAAAGGAGATATATATTATGTTTAAAGGCCTGGCAAATGCGTGCAAATCTAGCCATATAAACAGGCCTTTTCACCTTAAAAAAAATAAAAATAAAGGCAAAAACAAAAGACAGAACTTCCTTCCTTTCTTTTTTTCCCTAAACCTTTCAGTGGTCCAGGTTAAAATTATTTCCTAGAAATCTTTCACCCAGCCCTAATTCTAATAGAAGACTTCAGAGCAGCTTGTGTCTAATAACAGCTCTGTGGAGGCCCTTGAAATTCTAATAAAGACCCATCAACCTATCAAAAGAACATGTAATTTTATGTTCATTACTTCTTGGTGCCCGACTGTAGAATTTGGATGGTTGCACCTCAATTAAAAGTTGAATTGAAGTTAATATCATTTAAATAAAAACTTCAATAAAAAGTTAAACTTCTATTCTTAATAGCTTTAATACCCTCTAATGACTGCTACGGTCATTACCACCAGATAACTGACCTCCTTGACCCTTTCCTCACTGAGAAACCTGGCAACACAGTCAATTATTTAGCAGTAATGAGCACTCTGTGGAAGATTATTGTGTAATCAAGTACTTTGACTTACCACTTCTGTTATCTCCATTCTTCAACAACTGTTGCATTTTTCCATTACAGGTTCTTCTGTTTCTAAAAGAGAAAGCTGCTCAGGCTCCACATCCACCCCGCGTCCTTTGCCCTGCCATATAATCCTTCGCCATATAATTGGCAGAAATTTTAGATGTAATTAAAATGGTGTGAATTAGAGAGGTCTACTATTTGTGGACAGTAACTGCTGCCTGTTAAAGACCTTAATCCCCACCATTTGAGACCACTCTAAAAAAGAAAAAAAAATGAAAGCTTAAAAAGGAAGTTAAATGTGGCTTTCTAGATCTCTTTCTAACTGGGCTTTGCATGTGGTGTTAAACTTAGAAGTGTGGGAGACACAAAGAAAAGTCCAAACAGGTGATTTTAACAAGAGAGACTTCCAGGAATCCTTTAAGAACTTAATTTCCTGTTTTCCTTTCCTGGAAACTGCCATGAACTGAGGGTTGTGCTAGAAAAAAGAGAAGAGACACTAACCCATTGTTTTGCTAAACAATGTCTTGGAAGGCTCCTGAGAAGACTGAGAAATTCTCATTCCATAATATATATTTTTTAGGGGTACTGTTTAAGGAAAAAGAACAAACTCCTCATGATGCTGTGAAATTTTATATCTTAATGAAGAGTGGGCTGAGTTGGTAGCAAATAATTCTAATTTGTGGCAACTCAAACCCACAATCTTGGAAAAACAAAATAATACCATATATTGATTAATTTCCACTAATTTTCTTACAAGTCAAACTGGGCTACAAATTGAAGTGAAGCAATCCTGATATATGAGATACCCCAATTCAAAGTTCATTTATTTCGTTTTTCTGATTTTCACGCTGATTATTTACTTTAGTAAGAGATTATTCAAAGAATAAAGGCAAAATAATCTTTGATTCCTCTAAGGACAGATACAAGATGAATGAACTGAGCATTTGATGGTACATTCAGATGTAAGCAAAATAACTTATTAACAAAGATTTTTCCACTAGCATAATGTGTTGCTCTGAGGAAATATATAATCTCTTCTTCTATAAGTGTGTCAGGTATGTTTATATCTATAACCATGTTCATAAAGCCACAAATGTAGGGAAATTAAGTTGACAGTCTAACAATTCAGTGATTCCCAATTTCAAGATTAACAAAGTAGAAAGAAATATTGTTCATCCATTTGCCAATAAAGCAGCACCTATTACATGTTGTGTGAGGCACTGGTAAGAAAATGAAGATGAAAGGTATAGTTCCTGCCTTCAAGGAGCTTATAATCTAGTGAACATCATAGGATGACATATGTGAGAAACCACACCGAAGCAATGTGCTGAGGGGATGCATCAAATGCGATTAATTTTGACTGAGGGAGAATTAGGAAGAGCTTAATGGGTGAAGCAGTATTTGAACTGAATTTTGAAGAAATAGAGGTTGGATGAACAGAAAGTAGAGAAGAGCACCCACCCTGAGGAAACATCACACGTGCTGACTTGGACCTGCGGCTGAGTAGTGTTGGAGAAGCTGTGAGCAGGTCCAGTGGACTGAGGTATAGGAAATGCAATAGAACTAAGGGCCAATGAGCCTGGAGAAGCGATTTCGTGCTGGATCAAGGAAAATTGTCAACATCTTTTTAAGGATTTTGAGTTTATTCATTGGCAAGGCTTCTGAGCTGGAGTTTGAGTGATCCAACATGTATTTTAGGAAGATGACAATGAAGGTAGAGTGATTAGTATATTTTAAAAAAAGGAAAATTGAAGCTGAGAGCCAATTAAAAGCCAGTGACATAACTCGGCCCTAGCACTGTACATATGAAAGACCACTGGGGTTGGGGTAGACAATGCCAACATTAAGATTATAGTAAACAAGTCAGAATACACTTAGAAGCTCTTCTGTAAAATAAAAATTATTTGCGATGCAATGATTCTATATGTGAGAAACTAGGTTTCTAAGTAAGTCTGCAGTCCTATCTGACTTGACGATGAGGCCTGGACCAAGTATAACCAACCAGTGGGTATGAAAATGAGAGAAGACATAAGGGAAAACATCTCTGTGGCTCCACCAAATGTTAGTGCTTCCACGTATTTGTAAATAAAACCACCTTTGAACCATGCTGGTAAGAACCCAAGTTAGACACATATTTTGCCACTATAATGGGCTTCTTATTTAGTCCCTTTTGGCCTCTGTATATGTTAAACTAAAGCCAGGCTGAAATACAGTCACCTAAATAGCACCTGGAATGACCTCTGAAAGGCTGGTGAAATATTGTCCCTTTGGTTTAAAGGGTGCTTAACTCATATCTTTCCAACAAACGCCAGGAGCAGAAAGAGAAATGTTCCACACACAGCTGGTGCACAGGTATGACCACAGGTGAGGTTTCCACAGACCAAAAAGAAAAACTGTCAGGCAAATATTTTTACTACACTGAAAGAAAATGGAGTAAGAAGGGTTTTTTTTTTTTATTTGTATAAAATATATTGTTCTTCCAGGCTGCAGTGAAATAGTTTCTATTTAATTGCACAGAAATCCTAAGAAGGTTACAGCAGTGAAACATTAAAATTCTAAGGGCAACTAATAACATTAAAACTTTATAGCCCCAGATAGAATAATTTAGACAAAAACAACATGAACATATGTTTTGTGTAATAATAACAAACATTTATAGCTGTCAAGAGAGAAAAACACAGGTTTATGCACACCTTAATGGTGTGCAGGGGTGAGCATGAGTATATTTAAAACATAATATATTACAAAAATGACAGCAGGCATGGCTCTTCTGGGTACTATGTTAAATCAATGAATAAATTACCAAAAGTGAGCTGTGGCTGTTTGGATGTGTAATTGAGCTTAACGTATGTAGTGTTATTTCAAAAGAAACTGTTCAAGGAGTTTCCAGCCCAATCCACTCTGAATCTATCCTAGGCAGTTTACAAATAGCAATAAATGAAACCTTTTCACAGTGGGAAGGAAGTTTACTTATACACATTACTTAAATTGAGGAAAAGTTAATTTTAATATGCTTTGCAGGAATTGAAAACAAACTTATAATAATTTGCTTATGTTCACCAAACTGGAAATTGAAATGTTAATATTTGAATTTAAATTTATTTTAATTATTCACTGTATGACTCACAAAATCACTAGGAATTATCTGTTCAACTTAAAACAAATACACACACAAACCCTTCATAAATATATGTTTATTATTCTACTTGTTTTAATTACACGATTTGAATGTCACACTTTTTCAAAAAAATTATTAGGACTACAGAATATAAAATAAATTTTAAGCTTGTTTGTGCCAACAAGTTAATAGCAATTGGTAATAACTGAGCTGCAGACAAAGCCATTAATGTGATTTTTGAGAATAAAAATAACTTCTCATAATTTTCTTCCTAATTATAGGGTTGTTTGTCTTACTTAGCACTCTACCAAAGTATTGTGAAACAGGGAAAGAAGTATGTTTTCTTATATTTCTCTGCCTATATTTTTCTGGCCTTAATTGTCTCATACTCCTCTGTAATATATAAAATGCTCTGACTCTTTTACATAGGAAATCTGAAATAAGATTCCAGAAGAATTAAATCTTGAATCTTTTGAATTATACATCTTGCCAGGTAGCCAAAAGGGCCACTCAACAACTATATTTTCTCTTTAGGAGACTGCAACTTTAAGCAATTTAAAATGTTATTATGGGCTTAGGTAACAACCATCAACCATGCTGACTCCTTATTTTTCATTTCTTTTCTGTTAATGGGTCATTATATCATGGCAAATGCAGGATGCAGAAATGTCATATGTTTTAAGAAAAGAAGACTATTTTTCTTGAACAGCACATTTTCCTCTGTCCTATTAGTCCTGTGCTTTGTTGTCATTTACGACCACCTAATACAACAAGTATCTTCTAATACTCTCAGCAATTGTGTAGGTCCTTGACTCAAAAATCCAAAGACTTGCTTTTCATTATGCACTATGTGAATATCTTCTAATACTAAAAATAAGTTTTTACTTACCAAGATCTCTTTTTTTATTCCAAATCATAATAGTTAGATAGGAGGCCATCCCGCTGCATTTTCAGCACCACTTTTACTCATGTTATCACTGTTAATTCACTTTGCCACTCTACTCTCTTCTCCCAAAACTTTGCACAAACCAACCCATTTGCTGACTCTGCCAAACACTTATTCCCCCAGGGTTTCCATGCTTCCATGAGCAGATGATGACTAACACAGTCGGGGCAGTCAGATGCAGACAGACAGTGGAGCCCACTTACTGCTCAGTGCTTGTTAGGAGACAAAGATATGAAAATTATTAGGACAAGGAATACGGCTTTATGAACTGGAAGTTTAAAGACCTGGCCATATATGCTGAAACAGGTAAAGCTACCTAGAAAAATTTCCTTCTCTCACTCTCTTCTGAGTCTTCTCTAACTGCAAATTATGCCACGGTTCTCTGTCTCCAGGCTTGACCCCACAGAGGCATCACTGGTTTTTAAGCAGCAAGTGTCAAATATTTTGCAGAAGAGAATTTAGTGAGGCTTTTATGGGCAATGCCATAAGGTCCAGAGACTTTCTCTGACTATATTCATTTTAGGTGACTCATTTTCCTTTCCTGATTTAAAGTGAGTCCTACAGAATTAATGGGTAAGAAGTAGGGGGATGTGGGAAGTGAAAAGGGATAAGCAGGTAAGTCATTGTTAAGTCACCAGCCAATTGTCATGTTTCAAATATTAACCTATGGATACTAGAACTAACAAGAGTAAATCATAAGCACACAATCAGGGAAGCAATTTATTCTAGATCTCTAAATACATGTTAATTAGGTCTTAGCATCAAAGGCTCTTGACGAAGTATCATAATAATGATTTCCCACTAACAACAACAACAAATATTGAAAACATATTTCAAGATTTCAGATCCTGTATCTTTTAAGCCTCAAGATCTCATCACCTTAGGGTTTAATGCTGGAGCTTAAAAGTAGGAAGTCACAAACTGAACCTGTGGCATCTATAGGACCAGTATTTTAGCACTGAAGAGAAAGCCCAGGAATCATAGGATAGTGTGTGGAAGGCATGGCCTGTGCGGGGACTGATTTTTCACACACCCTACCACTACCACCACCACTGGTAGCACCCATGGTCCTATCGTGAGGCATCTGGCTCTGATTATTGGTGCCTCAAAGTGGTTCTCTCCAGGTTCTACTTCCTGTTTTTCTTTTCAGATTCATTCTCTCTGCTTCCTGTTGTAAACTCAGTCTTTACTTTAGACTGAACCATTAGTTCTCATGCCCACCTTCACCTTGGGTGCTATGATCCTCCTGTTCTATGTCCCACTCAAAGCTCCTCACTGTAGCCCAGCTCGTGGCCACAGCTCCCCACCTGCCTTTGCATGAGAACAAGAAGTCAGACTCCCACCCTGACAGCAACTATATGAGTTTAGAAATGTTGTATAGAACATTATTTGTCTTCTTAGCAACCAACTCCGATAATTTCATATATTTCATCTAATCAATTCAATAACCCTTTGAGGGAGGGAGAGAGGATTATCATTCATTTGCAGATGATGAAACAGATGCAGAGAAGGGATTCTTTAACTTCCTGGTCCCTAGGGTCAGCACCTTATATTTTTCTTATGGCTTATGGTTATATGGGCTTATTTGAAGCTCTCAATTATCTAGGTCTGTAATTATGTCTATTTGTCTCTATTATTATATCTAGTCTAGTCAAATCCTCCCCAGTGAAAATAACAGATAATATTGGTCTTGAAAAAAACATTAAAGTTTTCTTTCAAAGCATTTCAATCATTATATTATCACTACTATATCATGTGATATATTATTATAGTTTATTTGAAAGCTCATCAAATCAACATTCCCTTTCCTTGTCATCAGAATTATTTAAAAATATTGGTGACATACATTAAAATTATGAAGCAGTAAGTAGCTAAAACGAAATAGTAGGAACTAACTAGATAGTAGTACAGTGGTACATTCCTTCTTTCACCAACTTTTGGAATTTTTATTAAAATTAATGAAATTTTCAGGTACATTCTATTAAGGAATGATAATCTTACAAAAGTTATAGGAAACAGGAAAATAAATTTAAAAGGATATATGCCTTATTGAGACTACCTACATATTTGACTGTCCCCTCTGGGAGCTCAATAACAATTATAATACTTAAATGAAAATTAAGTGTTTAAAAATTAGAGTATTAGTACATCTGTCACACTTATCATTAATTCATAACTGGTATGCCTAGGATATCAGTGAGCTAACAAACTCATAAATAACCCTGCTTAAAATGTCCAAGTATGCAGCAACATAATAATAGTGGGTGACTTCAACTCTACTGATAGCACTAGACAAATCATTAAGGGAGAAAGTCAACAGAAAGACACTAGACTTAAACTGCACCAGAACAAATAGACCTAACAGATATTTACAGAACATTCTACCTAAGAACTGTATAATATACATTATTCTCGTCAGCACATGGAACATTCTCCAAGATAGACCATATGATAGGCCACAAAACAAGCCTCAATTTTTAAAAAATCAAAATACTATCTTCTGTAACTTATCAGACTACAGCAGAAAAAAACTAGAAATCAATCCAAAAAACCCCTTAAAATTATACAAACACATGGAAGTTAAATAATCTTCTCTTGAATGATTTTTGGGTTAACAATAAAACCAAGATGGAAATTTAAATTATTTGAAATGAATGATAACAGTAACACAAATTATAAAAACCTCTGGGATACAGCAAAAGCAATGGTAAGAGGAAAGCTCATAGCACTAAATGCCTACATCAAAAAGTCTAAAAGATCACAAATTGACAGTTTATTGCCACACCTCAAGAAAGTAGAGAAATAAGAACAAACCAAACTCAAACCTAGCAGAAGAAAAGAAATAAAAAAGACCAGATGAGAGCTAAATAAAATTAAAACAAGAAAAAACACAAAACACCAATGAAATGAAAAGTTAGTTCTTTGAAAAGAAAAATAAAATTGACAGACCATTAGCTAGATTAACCAAGAAAAGAAGCCATAAGCTCAAAAGTCAAAAGAAGAATAAGCTCAATTAGAAACGAAAATGGAGACATTATGACCAATACTGCAGAAATACAAATGATCATTCCAGACTACTATGAATAACTCTATGCACACAACTAAAAAATCTAGAGGAAATGGATAAATTCCAGGGAACTTATGACCCTCCTAGCTTGAATCAAGAATAAATAGAAATCCTGAACAGACCAATAACAAGCAGTGAGAATGAATCAATAATTAAAAAAAAAACTGCCAGTGAAAAAAAGCCCTGGGTCAAATGGATTCACAGCCAAATTCTACCAGATATTCAAAGAACTGGTCACAATCCTATGAAACTATTCTAAAAGATTGAGAAAGAAGGAATCCTCTCTAACTCATTCTATGAAGCCAGTATTACCCTAATACCAAAGCCAGAAAAGGACTTAACAAAAAAAGAAAACTACAGACCAATATCTCTGATGTACATAGATGCAAAAATCCTCAACAAAATTCTAGCAAACTGAACCCAACAGCACATCAAAAAGATAACTCATCATGATCAAGTGGGTTTCATCCTGAGGACACAGGATGATTCAACATACACAAGTCGATAAATGTGATTCATCATATAAACAGAATTAAAAACAAAAACCACATGATCATCTCAGTAGATGCAGAAAAAACATTCAATGAAATCCAGCATCCCTTTATGATAAAAACCCTCAACAAACTAGGCATAGAAGGAACATGTCGCAGAATAACAAAAGCCATATATAACAAAGCCATAGCCAATGTCATACCGAATGGGGAAAAGTTGAAAACATTCCCCCTGGGAACTGGAGCAAGACAAAAATGCCCACTTTCACCACTTCTATTCAACATAGTACTAGAAGTCCTACCCAGAGAAATAAGGTAAGAGAAAGAAATAAAGGGCATCCAAATTGGAAAATATGAGTTAAACTATCTCAGTTTGCCAACGTTTTGATCATAAAGAATCCTCCAAAAGACTCTTAGATTTGATAAATGAATTCAGTAAAGTCTCAGGTTACAAAATCAATGCATCCAAATGAGTAGCACCACTATACACCAACAATGGCCAAGCTGAGAATCAAATCAAGAACTCAATCCCTTTTATAATAGCTGCAAATGAAATAAAATAAAACAAAATATCCAGGAATATACTTAACCAAGGAGGTGAAAAATCTCTACAAGGAGAACTACAAAACACTGCTGAAAGAAATCATAGATGACACAAACAAATGAAAATACATTCCATGCTCATACATTGGAAGAATCAATATTGTGAAAATGACCATATTGCTCAAAGCAATCTACAGATTCAATGCAATTCCTATTAAATATCAACATCATTTTTCACAGAATTAGAAGAAAAAATCCTAAAATTCAAAGGGAACCAAAGAAGAGCCCAGATAGCCAAAACAATCCTAAGCAAAAAGAACAAATCTGGAGACATCACATTATGTGACTTCAAATTATACTACAAGGCTATAGTAAACAAAATAGCATGGTACTGGTATAAAAGTATATACATAGACCAATGGAACAGAATAGAGAATCCAGAAATAAAGGCAAATACTTACAACCAACTGATCTTCAACAAAGCATTCAAAAACATAAATTGGAGAAAGAACACACTATTGGTGCTGGGAAAACTGGATAGCCAAAGTAGAAGAATGAAACTGGATCCTTAACTCTCACTATATACAAAACTCAACTGAAGATGGATGAAAGACTTAAATTTAAGACCTGAAGCCATAAAAATTCTAGAAGAAAAACTAAGAAAAACTCTCCTGGATGTTGGCTTAGGCAAAGAATGTATGACTAAGACCCCGAAAGCAAACGCAACCAAAATAAAAATAAATAAATGGAACCTAATTAAACTAAAGAGCTCCTGTAGAGCAAAAGAAATAATCATCAGAGTAAACAGACAACCCACAGAATGGGAGAAAATGCTTGCAAACTATGCATCTGACAAAGGACTAATGTCAGGATTTACGAGAAACACAAATAACCAAGAAAAAAAAAACAAATAATCCCATTAAAAAGTAGGTAAATAATATGAATTGGTATTTCTCAAAAGAAGATGTACAAATGGCCAAGAAACACGAAAAAATGCTTAAAATCACTGATCATCAGGGAAATGCAAATTAAAATCACCTTACCCCAGCCAGAATGGCCATTATTAAAAGGTCAAAAAACAATAAATGTTGGCGTGGATGTGATGAAAAGGGAACACTTATACACTGCTGGTGGGAATGTAATTTAGTACAATCCCTGTGGAAAACAGCATGGAGATTTCTCAGAGAACTAAAAGTAGATCTATCATTCGATCCAGCAATCCCACTACTGGGTATCTACTCAAATGAAACAAAGTCATTATATCAAAAAGACAGCTGCATGAATATGTTTATCACAGCACAATTCACAGTTGCAAAGATATGGAACCAACCTAAGTACCCATCAACCAATGAGTAGATAAAGAAAATGTGACATACATACACCACGGAATACTACTCAGTCATAAAAAAGAACAAAATAATGTCTTTTGTACCAACTTGGATGGACGTGAGGGTTATTATTCCAAGTGAAGTAACTCAGGAATGGAAAACCAAATACCTCTGTCCTCACTTGTAAGTGGGGGCTAAGCTATGGGTATGCAAAGGCATACAGAGTAGCACAATAGACATTGGCGACTCAGAAGCAGGGAGGGTAGGACGAAGGAGAAGGATAAAAGAACTACATATTGGGTACAATGTATACTACTCTGGTGAAGGGTACACTAAAATCTCAGGTTTCACCACTATACAATTCATCCGTGTAAACAAAAACCGCTGGTATCCCTAAAGCTACTGAAAAATTTTTTTAATGGTAGAAAAAAGTAAAAATAAAATTTCCAAGTACAGACATAGTAGATTGCTTTGTTTTTCTTTCTTTTTTAGGCTGTGAAATGCAAAGATATAAAATATTTTGCATTAAAAAGTAGCTTTCCCTGTGTTTTATTTAATTGTTCTAGCTTCTATCATATAATGAAATTTAATTAAATCAATTTAGTCCTAGGTAATCTCAAAGAGTATGAATCAACTCACAAAAAAGGAACAAACGCTTAAAGAACTAAAAAAAAAATGACCTGAAGGGCTGGGTGTGGTGGCTCATGCCTGTAATCCTGGCATTTTGGGAGGCTGAGGCAGGCAGATCACTTGAGGCCAGGAGTTTGAGGCCAGCCTGCCAACATGGCGAAACCCTGTCTCTACTAAAAATACACAAAAATTAGCTGGGCGTGGTGGCACACACCTGTAGTCCCAGCTACTTGGGAGGCCAAGGCACAAGAATCACTCAAACCTGGGAGGCAAAGGTTGCAGTGAGTTGAAACTGTGCCACTGCACTACAGCCTGTGTGACAGAGCAAGACCCTGTCTCAAAACAAAACAAAACAACCTAAAGGACACACGTAATTTAAGGGTTTTGATTTGTGTTATAAATTGTTTGTCACTCAACAAGCATTTTGTTCAAGAATAGTCTTTGAGGGATATATTACGCTGAGCATTGCAGTGTGCAGAACAATGAACAGGAAATGGTTCCCCACCTTAAGAAGAATGCAGCTTGAGGAATATCTTTAATACAAAATTCAAAGACAGAATGTGATAAGTGCTATAAATGAGGTACAAATGCTGTGGGAATTGATAAAATTGAGAGTCATTTTGGTATAGATGGCTACTGGGTGGCAGACAGACCACCGAGATAAACCCTGATAATGGGGAGGATTAAACAGGTGGAGATGAGCAAAGATAGGGAGCTGAACAAGAAGAGCATAGCAACAAAAGATAAACTGGGACGTTTTGGAGACTAGAGGTACCCTCATGTGGCTATGGCAAAGGAAGAAAAGGGAGCATCAAAGGAACAAGGCTAGAAAGGAACTTTATAGATAGGCAATGGAAAGCCACTGAAGGATTCTGGATAGGAGAGGCACATAAAGTGCAAATGGAGAAGAGGCAGGAGAGGCACCGACAGTAAGGTTAAATTCAGAGGCTAGTTTTAGTACTATGTCCCATGGTACCTGTGAGCTTTGCAGAGGTCAGAGATAGGGAGGGCTACAAAAGTCGCAGGGGACAGTGAGCAAAGGGCAAAGCCCCCAGGTTTTCAGTTAACTGAAAAATTCCAACTGAATCAACTGAAAAATTCCACTGAGTTTATAAAACTCAAAAATTCCACTGAGTCAACTGAAAAATGCCACTCTGTTTATAAATATATACATATATGTTGGGCTTATAAGTAAGATTTAGTTTGAAAAAAGAGGCTAATTTTTTTTTAGTTTTATTTAAGTTCAGGGGTACATGTGCAGGTTTGTTATACAGGTAAACCTGTTATTGGGGTTTGTTGTACAGATTATTTTGTCATCCAGATGCTAAACCTTGTACCCATTAGTTATTTTTCCTAATGCTTTCCCTCCTCCCACCCTCCACCCTCCAAAAGGCTCCAATGTCTTTTGCTCCCCTCTATGTGTCCATGTGCTCTCATCATTTAGCTCCCACTTATAAGTGAGAACATATTTAGTTTTCTGTTCCTGTGTTAGTTTGCTAAGGATAATGGCCTCCAGATCCGTCTATGTTCCTGCAAAGGACATGATCTCTTTCTTTTATATGGCTGCATAGTATTCCATGGTGTTTATGTGCCACATTTTCTTTATCCAGTCTACAATTGATGGGCGTTTAGACTGATTCCATGTCTTTGCCATTGTGAATAGTGCTGCAGTGAACATACACATGCATGTGTCTTTATGATAGAACGATTAATATTCCTTTGGATATATACCCAGTAATGCGATTGCTGGGTTGAATGGTAGTTCCATTTTTATCTCTTTGAGAAATCCCTACACCGCTTTCCACAATGATCAAGCTAATTTACACTCCCACCAACACTGTATAAGTATTCCTTTTTATCTGCAATCTTGCTAACATCTGTTATTTTTTGTCTTTTTAATAATTGGCTAATAATTCTTAATTAAAAGCCACCAATCAATGATTTATAGAAAGGAATCTGAGGCTCAGGGACTTATTTGGTAACCAAGAAGTCATGAGGGAACATTGATGAGAATAATTTTAATAGCGTTAGTGTGAACAAAGTCACCATGTAGCATTAAGTTGAGAAGAGGTTAAAAAGTAATGGTTTAGGCTGGGCGCGGTGGCTCACGCCTGTAATCCCAGCACTTTGGGAGGCCGAGGTGGGCGGATCATGAGGTCAGGAGATCGAGACCATCCTGGCTAATATGGTGAAACCCCGTCTCTCTAAAAATACAAAAAATTAGCTGGGTGTGGTGGCGGGCGCCTGTAGTCCCAGCTATTTGGGAGGCTGAGGCAGGAGAATGGCGTGAACCTGAGAGGCGGAGCTTGCAGTGAGCAGATATCGTGCCACTGCACTCCAGCCTGGGTGACAGAGCAAGACTCTGTCTCAAAAAAAAAAAAAAAAAAAAAAGTAATGGTTTAGCATTGGGGGAAACATGTAAAAGGAAGTATTGTGAGATTCAATAGGTAGAGAAATATTCAAATTACATAATACTCAACAGATTACAATATTTCATTAAGAGAGAATTTGTTTTTGTCCCTAATAACAGAAAATTTCAGCTCCAACTAGAGGAAGGTTAAAAAAAAAAAAGAAGGAACTTATAAGAAGTGCTGAAGGTCAAACACCTCAAGAGTTGGTTCATTCAGCTGTTCAATGATATAAAGAACCCATTTTTCCCCTCTGCCATCCTTGGCATATTAAGCATTATCCTTGACCTAGCTCCATTTATAGTGACAAAATGGCTATAGCACCTCAGCTTGTTACCCTTGTGAAAGCATCCAGAGCTTGAAAGGGAACCTTTTCTTCTTGTTTATCTTTTTTTTTTTTTTTTTTTGAGACAGAGTCTTGCTCTGTTGCCAGGCTGAAGTGCAGCGGCACCATCTCGGCTCACTGCAACCTCTGCTGCCTGGATTTAAGTGATTCTCCTGCCTCAGCCTCCCAAGTAGCTAGGACTACAGGTGTGCACCACCACGCCCAGCTAATTTTTGTATTTTTAGTAGAGACGGGGTTTCACCATGTTGGCCAGGATGGTCTCGATCTCTTGACCTCATGATCTGCCCGCCTTGGCCTCCCAAAGTGCTGGGATAACAGGTGTGAGCCACCGCACCCAGCCTTGTTTATCTCTTTTTGAGAAAGAAAACCTTTCCCAAAGCCCCATAGACTCTCTTCATATCTCACTGGCCAGAAGTGCATCAATTAGCTGTGCAAAGGGAGCCCTTATGGTTGCCTCATGGACTAACTGTGATTCACTGGCTGGGCTGGGGAATAGGGTCCACTTCACCTGGACCACACACCATGAAAGAAAGTAGTATGTGGACAAAACAGGTGATGCTGTTAGGACAAAGGAGGAAAATGGCTATTGGTTAGGCAGTCCACAATGCCTGCCAAATAAAGCTTAATAAACATTATTTGATACTGCTGTTGCTGATTGTATCATTAGTGCAACATCCCCAACACACTCCCTTTTATGATGAGAAGTATATCTGTACTTCCTAATATCAAATTTTACCACTTATGAGAAGAAAGAACTATTGATTGCCTTGGAAAATTACACAAAACAAGAGCTTCTATTTCAAGGCATTGCACAAGACTGTTATGAGAGAAAGTCTGCTTAAAATGCAGGCTTTCCAGAGATTTCATCTTCAAACTCTTCTACCTGATTTCCCTTTTGTGTATTAGCCAATGGAGCATAGTCATTAAGCTTTTTGTGTACAACTGAGACAAAAAGTATCTGTAGATAATGATAAAAGATGCTATTTGCCAAAGGTCTGAAGCAGGACTTCAACTGAAAACCACCACACAATTGGAAAAAATACAAAAATAATAACAAGGAAGAACACTTAGAATATCAAATTTATTTTTATTCAGCGATATCTTTGTTCACATTACTGTTCTCTTTGTCCTGTATTATACAGTTAATAATTCTTAGCCTTCACCAAAAATGAGGGGAAATTTTCAATTACTGATTAATAGTAATAGTTAAAAAGTTCTCACTAGGAAATGAGATGATTTCACTCTAAAATGCAACCAAAATTAGTAGCAGCACTATTTGATGATAATTTTGAAAAATACATTTTGTTTTCTGTTCAGTCATATTTAGTCTAATTGACTTGAGAGAAAAAAACATTGTGTCCCAAGAACTTCATTTAAAAAGCTGGGTAGTGGTGCCCAGAAAGTTGCCATTTTAAACATGTGTATACACCTCTCAGAAGAGCTCGTTAAGAAGAGGAACAATGTGTGATCAAAAAAGTGGTCAGTGTGAAGGTGCTTGCTGGGTGTACGACAGGCCAGGTAAGAGAACCTCCAAAGTCTTAAGGAGGAAAATTCCAACACAGTAAGCAAGTTGGCATTACCCTACAACAGTCATTATCACTGATGCTATTGAGCCCGCTTAGCATCAGAATCACAAGTTTATATCATACTATTATTACCTTACTTTCAGCTAGAAAAGAAATGAAAGCTTTGGGGATGAGCAGCAGAAAAGAAGAAAAGAAATGAGACAGAGGAGTTTTCCAAAATTCCTCATAATTCAAAATGCATAGCCCCTCAAGTTATGAATAAACTTCAGAAGGTTTAAACACTGAAAGTTCAAATATGTTGATGAAGCTTAACTAATCATTTTCTAGTCTCAAAACTGGACCAAAAATTCCCATTAGAAATGGTCTAATTCCCTTAAAAATGAATGGTTTTAGCCACATGAAAGCATCCAGTGAAATTCCGTATTTGCTCGTCATCTATCTAATGATAGCTTGAGTATATACACGAGGTATCAAGTGAAAGACAGCAGGGAAATAAATGCCTGAGTGTTTGTGTTTGTGTCTAGTATAAAACAGAGAGACTGTGTTCCAGAAAAGCGACCCAGGTCATTTTACAAAGAAGAGAGCTCCCCAATCATATATTTCCTACAAATGTCTAGAAGTGTATAAACTACATTATGTTAGCTAAACCTCATTCATCATTTACTAGAAGGATGTGTATGTACACAAATTGCAATGGACCAAATATAATATGTCAGAAATTAGACTTTGATAGCGATTCAAATAGTGGTATGATCTAGTTCTGCCCTTTGAATTTATGTCAATTTAGAGACCTTTACCTTCTCAAGTTCAATCTCACCTAATCTTGTTAGAGAGCTTTGGAGCAAAGACTACAAATTTCATCAACCAGTGTGCTGGTCAGCTACCAAGTCATATTAGATGCTTTTAATGTTTTTCAAAGAAGCAACTCAGAGTATATCCTTTCAGCAAGGCTGTTTAAACAAAGGTTTTAAAAAATCTAACAATCTATTAACATAACCAACTAGACCTGCCTCAAGGAAGTATGAATATAATAATAAATTCACACTATAATAAAATCACATATTTAAGGTACAAATGCCTAGTTATTTGGGAAAAAATAGGTGAAATGGTTCTTCTAAAAGTTGATTTAAAGATTGTTTTATTTACAAAAAAAATAACAAGTGGCAAAGAAAATGGGAGAGAAGTGTAGAAAGGAAGAACAGATGTTAAGATGGGATTGTGCCATGATTTACACAGCTAAGATAAAGTATCATGAAAGATGAGATGATAAAGTAGGGTTCTGTCTTTAGCTTTAAAAAGGATATTATAACTACACATGATATTATTATAATCAAACAAAATTTACTAAAATACATTTTAAAGCTGAAATAACGTGTAAAGTGAGTAAAACAAAGCTTAGGAGGTAGTTGCTGCCCCAAGGAGTTTGCGGTCATGATGGATGGTAATCACTTGAAAAGTTAATTATGAAAGATATAAACAGAAATTCAAAACCACGATGAAACTGGTGTTTTACAAGGCTGTGTGAGATTAATCACCAAATGTAAGGTACAAACAGTAAATGAGAAGTTTAGAGGGCACAGTGATCACACAGGACTGGAAAATTTTAGGAAATCTCTTTTGAGAGGATAGGATTTGACTCCTACTCTGTTCTCTAGTCCCTCCTCAGCTTCAACCCTCCCTCTATTCAAATAATTGCTCCACTGACTAATCTCATGGGGTTTGTCTTCATTCTAAATTCTTTGGCTTCCTTCCCTCTTTCTGTCCTAACTCAGAAGATGTATCCTCCTTTCCTGAAAATCACAGATCCACTGATTCACTTCCTTTCCTTGTCTGAATCATTGTAGCAATAACTATCCATCTTTCTTGTCCCTGAAACTATCTTCTTCAAGTGTCCCTTTTTCACTAGTCCTATTCTTCAGTCTATAAACATGCTAAGTTCACTCTCGCTCCATGAAAAGTTCCTTTGACCTGCTATAATACCATTCCCCAGCTGCCAGCATTCTGGGCAACAGGGCCTGAAAGTTTCACTCCTCAGGTTGTAGATTCTCACTTAATCCCCAACTTTAATATGGTATCCTGGCTCTCAATTACCCTAGGCTTTCCTTAAAGTTCTATTGCACATCTACTTTATTCTCACACAATAGTCTCTTGTTAAAATCAACTTCCAAGGTTACAGCTATTATTTCTATTTGGACTACCAAACCTACATCCTTAACATTGACCTCTACTCTGAGCTTCAGGCTTGCATTTTCAACTGTTACACAAGAACACAGAGTTGATTTTCAAGTTTCTCCTCCTTACTAAATCTTTGTTCTCAAACTTTCCTGTACTTTAGAATCACCTGGGGAGGTTACAAAAATATCTATGCCCAGGTTACACACCTAGATATTCTTATTAATTGTGCATCAAGGTCACTGTACTAAACAGAGTTAATTATCTTCCCTTTCAAAGCTATTCCTTATCATAATGTGTCCAACCTCAGTTAATGGTAATACCATTCTCCTAACTGCTCATGCTCAATTCCTTTAAGTCATCGTTAACCCTTCCCTCAGGCTCCATCCCCTAGATACCAAATCCTATTATTTCTTCTTCCAGACTATCACTCTTACTTTTTTCCTTATATTAGAGCACAGCCACTGCTTTGCCTCGGCCTGCCTTTCATTATTGTAGTAGTTTCCTAATTCATTGTCTTGACTTTCAGTTCTTCCTCTTTCATCCTGCCTTTGCCATCTGTTTTCTATGACCAAATTCAATCATTAAAAACACACAGGGCACACCAGTAAAACACAACTCTTCAGCCTGATATCCAAAGCTGTCCAGTATATAGGTCAAACTTTTTCAGTATCTATCTTTCACTAAGTCCTCATCTCTTGCTTATAAACACATGGATACTGTATGCTCAAGAAGCCAAACTATTCACTGTTCACTTTCGATGTCCCTCATATTTTCCCTTTTCCATACTTTTGACCATGCTATTTCCTATGTTAGGAATGCTCTCCTTCCAACATCTTTCTACTACCAATTTTGCCAAATATTAGAGACCTCCACAAAATCCATCTTCTCTTAGGCCTTCCCAGGGCCCATCAGATTGAAATAACGTTCCCTCTCCCAGTTTCTGTATCTCTTGTATTCATCGCACAGTCTGCCTTAATTTAGAACTACATTTGTGCACATCTGTCTCCACTGCTAGGCAGTGAGCAAGAAGAGGTACAGTATCCTGTCCAGAGCTACATCATCATGTTGTAGTTACATTTTAAATATTTATCTATTCTAAGGATGAATAAAAGCAGTATAGATGGAGGGAATGAGAAAAGCCATGAGCAAGAGCAAAGAACAAAGAAAAGGAAAAATACATTTGGAAAAGGGTGGGTAAACTAGAAGAATTAAGAAATAAAACATTGACACAAATCTTAACTAAGCAGCTAGAATCAAATGATGGGCTAAGAAGTTTGTCCTTTCCCTTGTTATGGAGGGTGTCTAAGAAGACTCTCTCAATGATTATCTACTCCGTTTGGAACCTAAGTTTTTTTGTCAGTAAAGGGAAAGTAATAATAGGAGTTAGGACTCCTGGCATTGTTGGGAAGAATGAACAAGCACACCCAGGTAAAAGGCTTTACATGAACCTAAACTATAGTAAGCCCGTTGTGAGTGCTAACCGCATTAATAGAATATGTTATATAAACACACCCACACACAATGGTTACACAATAATATCTAAGATGTCAAAAGTAAAGAAAGTTTTTCTGCTTTTGATTTCCAGAGACTGAGAAAGGAATGAACGTGTGTGTGTGTGTGTGTGTGTGTGTGTGTGTGTGTGTGTGTCAGAGAGAGAGAGAGAGAGAGAGACCTCATGAATACACTAAGGTCCATGAAACAGACTTGGGCAGCCTGTGGAACCAATGCCCCTAAAGACAGCTGAGGCAATGTTTTTTAGCTTCTACCACATTTCACTGGACACATGCTTCGTTCTTTAATCTTTCTCCTCTGTTCCTTCACTCTCTTCTTTCTAGTCTCTCTTTTCTTTTGTCTTAGTGTCTTGATTTAGGCTTCCTTTTTTCCCTCTCCCTCTTCTCACTCAGGGAGGTCCACAACCTTGCTGAGCTCTGCAGGAGGCAAAGCTAAACAAGTGTTGGCCTCTGCAGGCCAAATGAGTATAAAAATGAGAAGCCACTGCCCCAGTCCAATGCAAAATGGCCTGGAACCTGCAGTGAGATGGTCCCTGAGCTCTGCCCGGCGGGACCTCCAATCTAGTTAATGTTTCCTGAGAAACATAAACCTTCATTTAGGCACAGTGGGAGCTAAGACTGGGAATGTTCTCTGAGTACAGAGCAAAGAGCAGTACAGTACCTTAAAAAACACTCTGTCTCTGGCAGCATCACAACCACATAAATGGGTATATTCCAACTGAATTCCAAAGAGAAAGAACAAGCAAAATGTGGACAACTCAATGCCATTTGACTACACTAGATGGGAGAGGTACTCTGGGTGTGAGAAAAGTTAAACAAGCATTTGGAGTATTTAGGGTGCTGAGTGCAGGTGTGTGTACATTTGAAAGCTGCCATTTAATAAGAAGGCCTAGATGACTCAATAAACCCAAAAGCCAGAGCGGAGTAATCCCTTTAGCAGGCAGGGCTCTCCCAGCTCAGCCTGCTCCCCTGCCAGAAACAACACATTCCAGGAAAAAGTGTAAGTCACACACTGAGGTAATTGTTTCACACTTTCAAAGAATTTACTTATTAGTTTTAAAGTGTTTTTTAGAAGCAATTCTGTATTTTGCCTTCTTTTTTTGTGCTTAAATACTTACATTAATAGATTTTTAAAATGTTTGACCTCCACTACCTAGCACAAAATGCTTCTAATGTGTTTACTCTATATTATATTTAAAATTGATCAGACTGAGGTACAAAATGTGAGATCTGCCAATAAAAATGGCTGCTTTCCACAGACTGTAAGTTTGTAAACAATACCAAGCATCTTTTCAACTTTAGTTATTGCAGATTCAGAGATTAGGCATTCTTGGACTAAATAGGAAAAAAGTAAGCTACCTATTCCTGTCAATGACTTTTCCCTGTGTTGATTAGAGACACCAAAGAATTTTACTCCCAGATTCTTGCTGAGCCAAATGTTTCTATTCTCAAGGCCACCAGCAATGGAAGTATAGTGTGAAAAACAAAATAAGCTATGCTTTTTTTTTTTTTTTTTTGAGACAGACTCTTGCTCTGTCACTCAGGCTGGAGTGCAGTGGCACAATCTCAGCTCACTGCAAACTCCATCTCCCAGGTTCAAGCGATCCTCCTGCCTCAGCCTCCTAAGTAGCTGGGACTACAGGCACACACCATGACACTTGGCTAATTTTTTATATTTTTAGTAGAGAGGGGGTTTCACCATATTGGCCAGGCTTGTCTCCTGACCTCATGGTCCACCCACCTCAGCCTCCCAAAATGCTGGGATTACAGGCATGAGCCACTGTGCTCGGTCTGCTATGCTCTTATACACTATATAGACCAAGAACATTAGCTGTCCTTTGACCTAGTGTATATTTTTATTTTCCCAACCATTTTTTTCAGTCATCTCAAGAGAGTGGCAGACCATTAAAAAATTCCTCATCTTAGATCCACCCATACATCTTATAATATGCAAATTTAAGTGCTTCAAGGAGATTAGAGAAACTATTTTCTATTGGATTCGATAACAAACTTAGTAACCACACTGATCTTCAAAGAAGTAACTCACTTTTGTTTCTGTCTTTCAAAAAATATTTTTGAAGAAAAGTTGCCCTTCTGATAACGAAAAAAAGGGGCTATTGAAAAATCCACAGTAGCAGAAAGAGTTCTCCCTAGGTACTGCAAATCAGGACTATGTTTATATAGTTCAGCAGGAAAGGAACCAGATCGGATACTGGCTTTTAGAAATATTTCTGCACAGAAGAGGTAGAATTGATAATGTATTTACTACTCATTTGCTTGCATCAAGAACCCCATTCCATTTCAATCTGCTAACATCCTAATTAAGATGATCTGAATCTTAGGTAATCTATTATTCTAGATCTCAGATAGCCCAAAATACATTAGACAAGTTGTTACACTATGTGCTTACACTGAAATGATAAGACCACTAAGCAGAAAAGCATGTCTTCTCTCATGTCTGGCCTGGCACTGGGCAGAGTGCAGAGTTCTCTGTCAGCACTCAATAAATAATGGCCAGGCCTTGGCCTGCTGTTTTTCTTTCCATTACTTTAGGCACAATTTAGTCTTACTAGATCATTTCTGGTTTCTTTCGATAACATATACCTGTGCTCTTGTTTGCATGAGGAAGACAGCAAAGTGTCTCAAGCAGTTCCTTACAAATATGTGCATCAGTATATGTGGGACTGACGACACATAAATGCAGTTCCCATTGATTGCATTAGCACTGTTTCGGAAGATCTTATATTAAGGAACATGCTAACTACATAAGCTTCTGAGCCAGAAAAGAAAAGAATGCAGATCCAATACTTTGTCTCACCAATGCTGTGGAAGAATCAGGATCAAGTTCTATTCTAAGAAAATATTAGCCAGTTGCGCTCTTACCCAAAACATCTTGCCAAGAAGCTCCCCAGATCGACTCCTTTATACCCCTTCAGTTAAAGAAAGTTACCCATAATTCATTAGCATAGATACTGGGTTAAGACTTGGGCATCTGGTAAACAAACAAACAAAAACACATGCTAACACTAGACTTGCCCTCTCTTGACATCTAAATAAAGGTCAGTTGGGTATATTGTAAGCAATATACCCAAGTCAAAGGCCACATAGATGTAAATTCTCAGCCAATATCTAACACTTTCATTCATAGGGCTGAGCAAACATATATCAGGAATATCCTTAAGCTTGCTGTTCTGTTATTGTTGAACAGATAACATTGATGACCTTCATAGTCTGATATCCATTTCCAAAGGAAGATGACTTCAATCTAAGAGCCTCAAAGAAGACAGATAAAATGAGCACAATCCTAGAGTTCAAAGCAGCTAACTCTCTGTCTCCTTTCACTAAAGAAATGAAGATGTTAGTTGGGACTCAGGCTAGGTCATCCTCGTAGTAGCTGTAAAGTTTTCTGAATTTACAATAAAATCTTCAAATATTCTTTGTTCTGGAAACTTATCTGTTTCTTTAAAAAGGGTGAAGGAACTGTTGTTGCATGCTTTCAGTGATGTAAGGTTGGATAAGTCATAGGGGGAAATCCTGGTCTCCATTATAAGACACCTGTAATAATGCATGCTTCGTAAGTGAAAAGTAAAGAAAGAGAAGATAAGAACATTTTAAAGGAGACAATGTATAAAATTTAAAGATGCTTTCTTGCTTTCAGATTTTTTGTTTTTTGCCTTGAAAGGTCAAAAAAATGTAGCTTTTGTTAGGTGTTGTTCACTATGTTTTGAAATCCCTCCAGCTGTAGACCATTAAAAAATTGAACATACTGAAAGCCTAATCTGAAGTGATAAACTTTCACCAATCTATCTTAAAGTAAAAATATATAATTATAAGCATATTTTCAATTCTTAGATGTGAGTGCTGAAGCTCTATTTCTAGAACTGGTGAATTCTATTCTCTATTTCCATGTATAAAAGATCTCACAGTCCTGGGAAAACACTTTTTTAAAAAATGAAATACAACAAATAAGGTATGCTGCTGAGTCCTAGGGGAGAAGTTTCCCAGAGTCTTTGAATTTCCTCCTATCCTCCTTCTTTACAAGATTTCTAAAACCAAGTCCTTTTCTGCAGTCTCTCAAACAAGGTAAAAAAGAAAAATACCCCCTAGATATATTCCTTAGATTTTCTATTATGCTTCTCAAGCTCCCAGTAGCTTCTGAAGTAAACCTAAGATGAATTCTGGAGTTATGTATTATCATGTTTTAATTTTAATTCCTCTTTAGGTCTAAGATGAAATAGATGATCATAACTGCTGTGCTTGGAGATGCATTTCATGGCACAATTTGTACATGACCTGTGCAAGGTCACGTCATGGAAAGAGGACTGACATAATGGCTAAGAAGCCAAATCCAGCTTTTAGTCATGGAGAACTTCAGGGTAACCTATTTAAGCTTGCTCGATTTATTGCAATATGACAATAAAAATTTTGGCTTAAACAATATGTTCAGGTTTATTGTGTATAGAGACCTCACTCTGGCTTGGATTATATTAATAGAGACATAGGAGGAATTATTGTCAAATCACTGATCATTAAGGATCATTTTTTGTCACATTGTTACGTCTTGGTGCAGTCTGTGGCAGGCTGGCCTACTCATCATCTGCAACAAGGTCCCAGGTTCCAGCCACACCACAGTTTTTACACCTCTCTATCTTTGTATATGCTATTCTCTCTGCCCATTATTTTCACCTTGGCAAAAATCCTGTCTACCTTTCATTTAAAACAAGAATGCCTCCCTGTAAATTGTTCTTTGATAGCCCAAGGTAGGGTTAGTTATTTCCTTCTCAGTGTATTTATAGCACTTTGTTCCTATCTCTATCAGAGTATTTATCAGATCCATTATAATATTTGTCTATTATTTATAATTTATTAAAATTATTTGTCTCTAGAAAATGAAGGCTTGTCCATTATCCTCAGCAAACTAACACAGGAACAGAAAACCAAACACCACATGTTCTCACTTATAAGTGGGAGCTGAACAATGTGAACACATAGATCCAGGGAGGGAAACAACACACACTGGGGCCTGTCAGTGAGGGGACAGGTGCGGGGAGAGCATCAGGAAAAAAAGCTAATGCATGCTGGGCTTAATACCTAGGTGATGGGTTAATAGGTGCAGCAAATCACTATGGCACATGTTTACCTATGTAACAAACTTGCACATCCCGCACATGTACCCAGAACTGTAAATAAAACAAGAAAATGAAGTCTTGTATATTTACTCCTACTTAGGATTTACTATGTGCTAGGTGCTGTTCTAAAGCACTTTAGGTATGTCAAGTCTTTTAAATCTGTATCACAACCCTTTGAGGCAGATATTATCATTACCTCTATTTTATAAATGAGAAAACGGAGGCACAGGGAAGTTAAATAATTTTCCCAGGAACACACAGCTAGTAAGTGCCAATCACTGAACTCAAGCAGTCTGGCTTCAGAATCTGAGCCTTTATATTATTATTATATGTGTTTGCCCAAGGGAGTAAAAGAAGCAGTTCATAAACATTAAACAAATAGAAAGCATGAGCATTCTGATTTTTTCATAGTTTCTTAAGCTTAAATTAATAAATATATTTTCTTTGTCTTAAATTGATTTCACATTCATCCTTGAGTATGGATGAGTTCATTTTTCCAGAGAAAATTCAGCCAAGATTGTGGAGAGAGAACTAGTTGGGAGGTAGAGGCCTGGGGTTTTGCTGGCTCAATCATGTCAAGATCTCAAACTCTCAGAGCCTCCTTCAACTTCTGCATCTGCGGATACCTACAAAAGCCTCTCCTTGTAGCTGCTTTTAGATGCACTATGCTGTGCACATAATGTGACATGAAAATGCTCTAGAATAGAAATACTATTAAAAAGGAAAGCACGAATGTTATTCTTGGTAAGCTGATGTGACTCAAGGTATTTTCACTTTTGGAATAATGTAAGTGGAGGGTTTTTGTTTGGTTTTCTCTTAAGAAGTAAGGCACCTTAATCATTAAGAACCAGATATATTTATTTTTCTTCTTGATATTTAAATTCATATCTCAAGTCCCTTAGCCCAACGTCACCTATTTTACCTCTTATCACTTTTTAATTCTTATATTTTTAAATGTATTCTTATTTTTTTATTTATAATAATTCTTGCTCGTTGAGAGGTTTGGAAAATTCAAAGATACTCAAAAATATATCATTGTATATCATAGGTATCCTCCAGTATTTCCAATTCTCTTCTAAAACATTATTTTTATGGTTATGTAACCATAACATTTCATTAGAATGAAATTTAGCATAATTTAATCAAACCATTCTTATTTTAAACATTTCAGTTGATGCCAATTGTTTGCTATTATAAGTAACAATGCAACAGACATTCTCTTATTCACGTTGGGTGAGGATCATGTAGTCCCTGCAGGAAAAGGGTCTTCTTGGTGCCTATTATAGAGGTTCTCCAAGAGCTTATTGGAATGCAGATTCTGGGGCCCCACCCATGAGGTTCTGATATGGTCTGAGGAAGAGCCTGGGTAGGCAGGTCCTCTTTTTGAGAAATGCTGACAATGTTTCTCCTCTGATAATACTTTCTCCTTCTCACTGTGTTATCAACTTCATTCTATCTCAATGCCTCCCTAAACAATAAGGTGATTTCAAAGTGTCCACTTCAAACTGGCCCTGGTGAATGTACTCCTTTTCAACATAGCTCTTTCATTAATTTAGGTCATTGTGCCATCTCTGCAGTCCACTTCGGCATACTCCCACCCTAGCCCCACTCATCCCACCCCACCCACTCATGTCCCATACCACAGCCAGTAAGAGGTTTTTAGAGTGCAACGCAATAATGTCACTTCTCTTCTTACTCCAAAAGCCTCCCCTTGTCCAACAACAGGGCACCCAGCTTCCCTTGCACACTTCTCCCTTTCTAACAACACTGGCCTGTTCACAGAATGACAATCCCTCCCTGATACCCTAATCTAGATCACTTCTCCTGGCCCAACCTCTTGTGACTCCCTTTTCTTTCCTTTCACGGCACATCACAATCTGTAAAGGCAGTTATTAAAATCTGTTGCTCACACTTCACCACAAGCTTCATGAGACAGGCACGGAAGCCAGCTGTTCATCTCTAACGCCTGGTCCCACACTTGGCCCTGAGCAGTGCCAGTGAAAGGCAGTATGCTAGGTGGTGATGAACACGGGCTCTGCGATCAAAGGGCTCCCAGCTCTGCTACTTAGCAGCTGTGCGACCTTAAGGAAGTTACCTAACCTCTCTTTGCCCTCCTTTTCTCCATCGGGGATTAAAATAGAACCACTTAAAAATTTGTCATGATAATTAAATGACATAATACAGAAGTGCTATAGAATAGCATCTGGCATGTAAAATGTAGCCAACACAGGATAGCTTTTAAAAAGTAGGCCCTCAGTGTATTCTTGTTAAATAAACAAAATACAATGAAGCTTTTTTAAAGTGATTTTCCCAACTCAGCCTCCTGAGTAGCTCAGATTATAGGCGCATGTCACCATACCCAGCTAAAATTAAGATTTTTGACTTGTTTTTTAGAGACAGGATCTCTCTCTGTTGCCCAGGTTGGAGTGCAGTGGTGTGATCCTAGCTCCCTGCAGCCTCAAACTCCTGGGCTGAAGCAATCTTCCTGTCTCAGCCTCCTGAGTAACTAGGACTGTAGGTGCATGCCACCATGCCTGGCTCATCTTTCACTTTTTGCAGAGATAAGGTCTTGCTATGTTGCCCAGGCTGGTCTCAAACTCCTGACCTCAAGTGATCCTCCTGCCTCAGCCTCCTACAACAAGTTTTTAACTGTGTCGTTTCTTATCATCTTTCCTCTCCCTACTTCCACACACAGCCAAAGCATTAGCCCAGTGAACTTCTCCCTACAGCCTACTCCTTAAAATAGCTCCGAGTTTGCCCTGAGAAATGTGCTGAATACAGTCTCCACTCTACATTATTAGTTCCAGCTTTGATCCTTTCATCACATCACTTCCTAAAATATGTGCTCATGTGCCAAGCCACCTCTCCTCCTTCCTTCAAGTACTTCCTGAAATGCAACCTTCTTCATGGAGGTTTCTTTAAGTGAAACTGAGCTCATCATTCTATCCTCTGTTTCCAACAAATAAGTTAAAGGCGTTGTTTGAGATTCAAAAGCTGTAAATTGTCTGAGCTTTTCACTGGCTGCATGGGTCTCAACATTGCAGGGCTGGATGGGTTTCTCCTCTGCCTGCATTTAAAAATGTGAGTCTAAGAGGGCAAAGTATTTGTTTAACTTGCTGTGTATACATTTAGCACAATGCCAATCTACATGGATGCTGAATAAATGTGACTTGATGATGATTTACTTACTTTGTCCAAGCCAGGAATAAAAACCATGAACTCTTAAATATGTTTCCCCCATGTTACAATAAGTTTTATTCTGGATTTATTATGAGGCAGGTTTTCTGTGTTTACTTCCACAAAGGAGCAGATGCAAAAGAAAGGAGTGATTACACGAAAATATCAAATTAATAACATTATTTTCCACATTATGAGCCCAAAGATACCTTTAGAACAGTGCCAGTCTGTATCAAAAGGTGCCTCATTTAAAGTTCAATTGCATATGTTTTATGGGTTATTTTGGACAACTAAAATGAATAACCAAAACACATCAGTACTCATTTTTAAAGTACTTGTTGTATTCGGTGCTTGTACCATTATGGAGAACTCACACTTGGAGCAAAAAGATTTGTAGCAAAGCATATGACCTTCTTCCCACTACAATGACCATCCCCTAATTAGGCAATGCATCTGATAGTCATTAACAGGAATGAGATAATGAATCACTTTCTCTCTTCTTTGTTAATTTGCTGTAACCAAGCGGCTAATGGATGTCAGAGCTGAGTGATTGCACTGATTATAGTGATTTATAGTTGCAACAAAACAATTTAAAACCATTCTGATTATTCATGTTAAAGATGCTTTATGTTTTGTTTACTAAATGTTTTATGTCCCCCTTTCTCTCACCCTTAAAGTACTGTCCCCCACCTACCCTGCCACTTTTCAAAAAAAGACCTCTTCCTGGAAAACTTGGAAGTTGAAGGCTTTATTGTTTTAAACTAAGGCATTTCATTTTGTTTATATATATATAGAGAGAGATATAAAGTTTACCCAGTAGAAACAAAAAGCCTTAGGGTTGGAAAGAAAACTTCAGTGGTGCCTAGTTCAAAAGAAGACAGAAATAAGAGGAAATAAGGCAAACTTCAAGCCACTTACCTTGGGGCTTCCAGTCCCTTCCTCATCCTCCACAGACACATCAGTAGCCAGTATCTCGGCTTTGATGGTATCCAGAGCCCTGAGAATCCAGCTGTGCTGCCGTTTGATTTGCCTCTGCAGCTCCTTCCATTGACTTGCAATCATCCGCAGCATGTCCTTCAGTCCTTCTCCAAAAGGAGGGGAAAGCAGAAGTTGTGGGCCTGAATGAATCTTTACTCATTATTTTTATTTAGTAAATTAGATGGCTATTTTAAACAATATAAATATTTTTAAATGACCATTACCATCACCTGCCATATCAGCATTTGTCACTCAGAATAGAGACAGGCAATTCTTAACATGAGGTATAAGGACACAAAAATGTGATAACCACATAGATGACTGGCTTGGAAACTGATTTAGACTCAGTATATTGACTTAAAAAAATACATGAGGAACAAAAATCACAATGTATAAAAATTAATAACATTACAGTTTCACATTCCAAATAAAAGGCTCTGTGTGTATCTGTGTAGAGACTTTATAATGATAAAAATTGTCTATGGAAATAGGTAAAGTCAATTCAATGAGAAATACAGTAAATAGGCCAGAATTAAGACGGCAGTCTTTAACATTAGTAAATCCAATTAATACTGTCTTTTTCCTATTTAGCTGTGCTAAGCTCAAACCTAGAGCCAAACTGTAAGTATCCTGTCTTACAGTCTTCTATTATCAGGATAAGTATAACCAAATGACAAAACTATTTTTTATTTATAATCTGTTCCTTATAAATATATTAATACTGGGGTAAGAATTGGTTGAAGGCCAAAAACTCTGCTAATGCAAAGACCAGCAAAGAACATGCAAAATGTTCTTGTGTGTGAAGCGGCAGGGAAATAATTTAGACTGCTTGCCTTATATCTGTAATGATATCTATAAGTACCCTAATGCGTATGCATTATAACTATATATACAGTTCTCATTCATTGTCTTAATGTTATTTCCAGAGCACCTACATCAAAAAGCATGTCAATGTGAAGTTTTCAAGAATGTAATTTCAATTGAAACTCAGGCAAACGGCAGCCCAAAATAAAATGAACAGACCATTTGGAGGCAGTATTTCATCTTATAAGTATCACAGCATTGTATGCAGTATATGAAACATTTATAAATCTTGAAGGTCAATCTGATAATGTAAATATTAATAATACATAAGGAAGTGAATATATGCAGTAATTTACAGCAATGCTTCTTCATTCTTAATAGTCTGGAGACGTAAAGACTTGCAATATTTCAGGAGGATTTACCTGCTTTGTGAGATGCAATAAGCTCAAGAAGTTGGTGTCCTTCCTCCTCCACAGCTTCCTTGAGAGCACAATGACTGTCTACATTCAACTTAAAACTCTGCAAGGAAAAATATGAACATTAAACCCTGGCAAGGCAGTTACACATAAAACATCCATATAAAATTACTTGCTACTTTTTATCAAGAACCACACAGCCCAATTTACCCAATAGACAAACTAATTTGCAATACTAAAAGCTATTGATATTTGGGATCTGGGCTCAAAATGTTTCCATTAGATTAGCTGAGTGCATCTGTTTGGAAACAGCTGACAAATCTAGAAATTCATTAGGTTTTTATGAAAAGTCACATCCCGTAGGCTATATCAAGAGTAGCAGTGTTCTATAAAATATACTGAATTTCTGCTAGCACATATGAGCTCTTTTCTTCATTTTTTAGAAATGTTAGTGATAGCACTATTTATGAAACCATAAAAAATTGGCAGCATAAAATATATTAGCCTTATGTGCACATATATAAATCCATTAATATAGTAGGGTTTGATTCAGTTCTGTTTCTCAGATATCACACAACAAAGAACACAGTTGGAGATTCAGGTGTTGCACTGAGGAGTTAAATGTCTTTCAGATCTTTGCTTTTTAAAAGTTTATTCCCTATAATATGACACTGCCTTGTAAACAAATACATCAAGCACAATCCGGCATTTTTCACTCATGATAGTTATCCAAAAGACAAAAACTGCTGTCATAGTTGAAATCTAACTCAGAGCCATTTCTTTCAGGGTGCCTTCCCTAATGCTTTATGTGGAATTAATTACTCCCCCCTCTCCGCTCCTTATATCTGCTTCTATTGTAAAATTTATCTTACTATATGCTGCTTTATTTCTATCCTTGGCTACCAAATTATAAGTAATTTGAAAAATTGCCAGTTTTACATTTATCTCCAATTCATGTCACATACAAGTTGTTCAATAGATGTTTGCAGGAATTGTGGATATCCATTGAACAATAACACTCTGAAGGGGAAGGTTTCCATTTAAATATTTCAAGAAACATAGATGGCTTTCCAAAGATTTTTCCATCTCTGTGATTACTGGAGAGTAATCACAGTAACCAATCTATTGAACCAATGGTTAATTTGGGGGGTGAAAATTCATTTCTTGACTAATTGGAGCAAGCATGGATTTTGAAATACTGTGTGGCCAAATTCTGGCATCTCCATGATAAGTCTCCAAAATATATATGTTTGCTCTCACTAAACATTTATTGAGAAGGTCTGCACTGCACTGTACTTGGTATTAAGAATATTTGATAGAAGTTTGAAACGATACAGTTCCAGGTAAAATATAATTTTGCGTTAAAGAAGTAAATCAATCATAAATTGTGAAATCATGTATTCATTCATTCATCCACTTAGAAACTATGTACTGTGCCCATTCTATACACTGTGCTGGGCAATAGAGATTTAGGGAATATAAAGCACGGCCTCTGGCCCCAAAGGGCAACTGAACATGTTACTAGAGAATGAAGTGTAGCCTGAGTCATCCTGGGTGGTCAGTGGTGAGTCTGAACTCTCCTTTTCTTAGCAGAGAAAATGGATCTTTTTAAAGTTCAGAATACTGAAACAATGATCAAAAGAACCTAGAAATGAAGGAGATAGAGATATGCAGATCAAGCCTTGAAGTATAAAGATAAGAATTATAAGTTATTATAATTGTAAGTCATTATTAAAAGATGAGTCCAGAATGATGAATCATTTCATCTGACTAGAGGCATAAGATACAATAAAGTTTCAGCAGCCAATATAACAGAAAGTGACAATATCAGGTTTCCCCAAGGCTGTTCACTATTTCTTGTACTGTCCTCTTTTAGCCACAGGTATCTGGTTGAATAAAATAAAATATGGCAATGTATGGGAAGCCTCATACTTCTGATCAATCCAAACTATATATTACCTATGAAAAATTAAATGTTTGTTATTTTATAGTCAAAACGTGCCTGCACTTACTTTTTGCCACTGCCACGGACATCCTCAACTCTGAAGCAATGCCATGCAGAATGAGATACATGTGTGTTTTAGGGAGCAGGGACAGGGTAAAGAGAACACTTAAGATCACCCAAGAGCACCAATATTTAGGAAGAAACTTATTGTAGAAATTTTCTCATAACTGTAAATTTAGCCTAGGGCTCTCTTTGATTCACTGTTTACTTACAATAGACCTGTTTTGAATAGTTGGCAATCATGAGCTTCCAAAGAGGTGCATGATGTCTATGTCTCAGAGCAAATGGGAATCTAAGGAACCGTAAGTAGGTTGAATAATTTGATATAATTGAAGCCAAGAGTATAGAATAGATGCAGCTGGAACTGGCTCTGCTTCAAGATGACATGGAAGCATTTGATTAGGAAATTGGAAAAGATGAGGTATTCATTATTAGGAAAAAGATAATCTGATAAGCTCGATGCTGTAGAAAAGAACCATTTAACATAACTATTACCCAAATGGTACAATATTGCTTGATTTTCAGGTGCACCCATTAACCATTAATAATATCAACTAAGGAATTCACAATGAGCCTCTGAGAAGGCAGACGAGCAGACACATTAACAAAATTGTCAATGAAATTTCTGGCTGCTAAAGGATTCTATAATAAGCTCTCGCCATTTTGTCCCCACCTTTTCCCAAGGGAAGGAAGCTTGGATGAAAGGGTTTTATTTTTTTGTTGCTGTTCTTTCCTTAAACTTGATACTTGAACACATTTCCATTATTCAGCAATGCCCTATGGTGTACAGTCCCTCTGCAATATCCATAGCACTCCCTGAAAATGCAGAGCATTCTCTGAAGAACAAATTTATGGCAAGAATATTGCCATAGGCACGTACCATGGTCCTATGGCACTGATTATATGAAATTCCATAAATATGAGTAATCTGGTTCCTGGATGACACCAGGTCTTTTTTAGCATCTTTAAAGCAGCACGTAGATGAATGACTAGAAAAGGATAACTAAGGAAATGGAAAAACATGATGACTGAAACAAGCACAGGATTATCAAAGATTCACCAATGGGCATTTCTATTACTATAACCTCTAGCATCACCAGCTTGCATATATCTGGATGTACTACTTATTGGCAGGACCAAACTTTGAGAATTCCCACTGATTGTACTTTGGTCATGATCAGATTTGCAAAGCAGATAAAATAATATGTCTAATCCTTTCCACTCATATTTCTGAATAGCCCAGTTGGATAGTCATGTGGACATAAAACCAAGGAAATATACGCCTTGATGGAAACAGATATCCTGGTACAAGAAAAAGTGGGAAAGATCATAAGCACATTCAAAAGCTTAAATGTCCAGAGTGGTTCAATCTTAGTAGTATCAAATCACGAACACAGACTTTCGATCACCTGATGGAAATACTGTTAGTTTTGCCAGGTGCACTGAGTTCCATTAGTCTTGTGATGTTCATGAACAAGCAGAAAAGCCAAAAAGAGAGTCTTTTCTGGTCTAATTTTTGTTTTTTTATAAGACATAAATTCATATAATAAATATTTATTGAGTAGTCTTTGTCAAGCCTATAGATATGAAAGTTAACAATACACAATCCTTATCCTCAAACAGCTTATATTCTATTGTGTAAAGGAGATAAGAAAACAAGTAGCTTTATAAGACCCAGCGTAGAATAAATGTGTGATTAGGGTTTAGTGTATAACACAGAGTGGTCGGGCCTTAAGCAAACTAAACAGTGATATGCCTTGCCCAATGGGATTCAAGTTTTTTTAAAAAATTTTATATAGGAATTATGCTGACCAAGCAAAAACAAGGCTAAATTAGCTGGGTGTGGTGGCATGCACATATAGTTCTGGCTACTCGGGAAGCTGAGGCGGGAAGACTGCTTGAGCCCAGGAGTTCAAGGTTACAGTGAGCTATGATCATACCACTGCACTCCAGCCTGGGCAATAGAGCAAGACTGTGTCTCTAACATAAAATAAAATACAAACAAGATGGAAGTTTATATTCTGTATAATAGCTGGATAGGGTTTGTGGGAGCCCATGCTGGGATCCAGGTTCAGCAGAGCCTAGCAGGGAGCTTGTGGAGAAAGAACTGATTTGTACACGGGCCTGAAGATAATCCTACATTATAGCATGAAGCAGGGAGCCACAAGCAGCTCAGTGTGGCTGGGGCAGGGTGCAAGCAGGAGAGACAGCAGCTATGGCTACACAGGACTTGACCCCAAGAACCATGAAAGAGTCATGGAAGAATATGCCAGTGACATGGGAGAGTGGCTGGTGCAAATCTGTGATCTAGAAATCTTTCTAGCTGTTGCATATAGTGTTGATTTTTAAAGGGCAGACTGGAGACAAGGAAGCCATTTAGGAAGCTGCTGTGGTAATACAGGCCAGATGTTTCTGCGTGCTCATATTTTTTTTAATTAAAAAAGGTATGCTTTTCCTTCTAAGTGAATAGAAGAAAAAATGGAGAAAATCTTCTGTCTTTTTAAGTTTTTCTCAGTGCGTGAGAGAAGCATGTGCCAGAATTTAGTTCTTTGGCTGTTCTGATGATAAATACCAGAGGTTATTAGTCAGGAGTCTCCAAATGTGAAAGACATATTGAACTGATGAACTTTTACTCCCACTGTCATTTTAAAGAGATGGTATATATGCTGATGAATAAGACACTTGACGACACTTTTTCTTCACACAAAAGATTTTTACTACCCTAAGAAAATGAAAACTTGCCTTTTTACAAGGGCAGGAGGAAGAATGTGTGTTCAGTCAGAAAAGCCAAGCCTTGAAAAGTCACCTGCTATCTGCCTCAGGCCATCTCTGCCCAGGCTCCACTCTGAGCTGTGCCCAGAACCACTCTCCATTCTCAGAGGGGCTCCTGGGGGAGAAGAAAGCCATGATCCTCTGTGTAGTTTCTCTTCTCCTCTCCACAATGCCATCCAAAGAGGATGGGCAGAGGTACCAGTCCTCAAAATATATCTTTAAAATGCCATATATACCAAGAATCGGAAGATTTCTATGAGTAAGCATTTAAGAACCTCCTGAAAACTTGATCAGACATTAGATAGCCATCAAAATGAAGACTAAACAATCATATGGAAAATACATAGAACATGCCACAAAAAATGAAGATTCCAAATTGTATCTATGATAAAATTACATATATGTAAGTAAATAGTCTTAGTACTTAGAAAAAGACTGCAAAAAATACAACAAAATGTTAATATAATTTGTACAGGGTTGAACTTGGAGTTACCATGGTCTGATCTTATGGAACAAGTTCTGGGTGCTTTAGTTTTCTGAAATATAAAATGGAAATCATACTATCTAACTTGCAGGCAGCTGTAAGAATTAGAGATAATGAATGTAAAGCATTAAAACACGGAGAATTGGAGATAATAAATATAAAGCGTTAAAGCAGTGCCAGGCAATGAGTGAGGCTAAAAAAATCATTACGAATTTTAAAATTCATTTTCTCTATTTTCCAAATAGTCTACGTAATAGATGGTACTTTGTGACATTTTCAGGTGATAAGGGTTCTTTATTGTTGAGGTTCTCTGAATTCCTCAAGGGCAGATACCAGGTTTCCTTTGCTGTGTGCTTCTACCCAGCACAGGCCTTCCCACAGAGGACCCCCCAAAACATAAATGCTGCTGTATGAGACATGGGGAAGAGCAAGCCCAGACTGATAATCCAATGATTGGGTATTCCTTTTGCCTCAAGTGTGTGCCCTGGGATGAGTCATTTAACCCACCGTGGCTTCTATTTCCTTATTTATCATCCAGGCATTTGGACTCAATATTTTCCAGCCCTTGAACACTTTGGTTTTATCTTCTCTAAGCCAGGCAGTTAAGCATAGGCAGCTTGGGAGAATTTTGATTTATTTTAAATCAGAGCATTTTCAAAAGGGGAAGAATCCCAAAGGCTATCTAACCACTCATCTACCCAAGGGCAGCTCTGTCTCTCAACCATCCCAGGCAGATGTGTCCCTTCTATTTTTAACCACCTCAAGGGAAGTCTCTTCTAATGTCTCATCCTGAGTCTGCAACATTTCTTGTAAGGAATTTAAGAGCTCTGTGAAGAGCAGTGTAAGCTTCCCACTGCTTCACATTCTTTTGCCAAGTCATCCCTCCAGTGCATGGGTTGGAAATCAGAAGCACTGTGAGAATATTCCAACAAGACCCACACATCCAATCAATCAACAAACCCTGACCATTTATTTCCCCTTCTTCATCTCTCCTTATTGACTGACACTGCCTTAGATTCAGGCTTTCATCATCATCCCTTGCCAGGTCAACTCGAATCACAACCCTCCTCAAAACTAGACTTATTTCTTATTTGTTGCATGTCTATGAAGGTGCAGGTAGTGTCTTAAGCTTGAAGGATATGGCTATAAACAAGATAGACATGGTCCCTGCCCTCACAGAGCTCACAGCTGTGTGTGTGTGTGTGTGTGTGTGTGTGTGTGTGTGTGTGTGTGTGTGTGTTGGGGTGGGGGTAGGGGACACTGTGTAAACAAGGAATTGCAGTCAGCTGTGTCAAGAGAGTTATGACATGCTGTAGAATGGGGCTGTTGACAAGCAAGGGCTCTGGAGCAGGACAGCCTGTGTTCAAATCCTGGCTCCTCCATCACTCACTGTGTAGCTTTGGCCAACCTCTGTGTACTCAGTTTCTTCATCTATAGATGACGGGAAATGTTAATACCTACTTCATGGGGTTTATTGTGAGGATGAAATGCCTTGATACATGCAGAATGGAGCCTGGCATACTGCAATAATGCAAGTGGCTTTATTATACAAAATGACCTTCCTACAAAACAGCTCTGACATTAAGACTCTCCAATGGCTTGCCAGGGTAGAGAATAAGACCCAGGCCCTGAGCATGACCTACAGGGCCCTCTGAGATGCCAGCTAATGCAACTTCACAGGCTACATATCTGCCTTGAAATGTACCTGGATTGCTTAAAGTTTCCAGCTCACACCAGCTGTCTTGCTCCGATTCTACTCTGGCTGGCACTTCTGCCTGGCAAGCTCTTCCCCTTGAAAAGCCCTGGGCATCCTTTAAGATTAATCTCAGGTGTGACCTTCTCTAGCAAGCTCTCCCTAACCATCTTCCACCTAACTGGTTTCCCCACCCTTGGCACCCATAGTACTTGTACAGAGCTCAAACCTTCACATACTACGTTGTGTTAAAATTATTGATGTGTCTGCTTCGCATAGATGAGTTCCTTGAGAGTAGAACTCTTTATTTTACTCATTTTTGTATCCTCAGTGTCTAGGACAGTGCCTGGCACACAGCACATAACTAGCAAATGTTCAGGGAAATGAATGCATGGAGATTTGTACAAAAAACCTCCCATGTAACTTTTAAACAGCTTGTGGCATTTTGGGAGACACTGATACAATCACTCTTCACTTGGAAGTAGTTGATAAATGTCCCCAAATTTTACTCAGTGAACACCATGTAAATGAGCTGTCATGTTCCTTCACTTACAAAATTACTTGCCAATTACAGTTAGATGATCCCAGCGTAATTGCCATGTAAACTGTACCCTGGCTGAGATAGCCCAAATCATCAATTAACTTTGCCCTCTCATCATGTGGTACTTACCACATAATTAAATAAATGGTCAGCCGCTACCACAATTGTCTATTTCCCCAACAAAATGAAGTGGCTACATTTGTCATTGATTTATCAGTTATGACAATCTGTAACACACCTCTAGGTATAAAAGCAGAAGCTTTAAAAAATAAAAGAACTCTGTACTCTTGAGAAAGATGTTCCAAGTTTTTGATCAAAAAGATAAGCATTATAAAACCTTTGTTTTCCTTTTGAAAAAAAAAAAAAAAAGAGAAGACACTGAGATATGAAGACAAAAAAATCCTCCTTCTTCCTGAGGAGACTTTCTTCCTGAAACCTCAGACAATAAAAACATTTCCAAGAATTTGAAAGTGAATTTAGCTCTTCAAACAAGTTACACAAGTTACAATTTATTTCAAACAAACAGTTGCTTTTTTTTTTTTTTTTGGTGCAAAGTAGATGCATCTTACTGAAGCTGACATTCTTTTCTGATAGACTGGCTAATATGTTATGCAAGAATTAGATAGAAGGGAGAGATCCTGAATGTTGACGGTGGCTCCAAGTGACAGAATTTTCATTTGCTTCTCTGGATGCCATCTCCACACCTGACACAGGTAATCACATTCACTTCCCAGCATGGCCACATTAGGCCAAATGGATTCCCAAACAGAGGTTCTGTCTAAAGGGACCATTTGACTTCCAGAGGCCCTGATTGAAAAGGAGGTCAGTGCTGGCCCAAATATTTCTCTACCCCCTGAGGTGGAATAATTGATGTGCAGCAGCCCCTACAGATGTGGATTCACAAGAGTGATAGATTGATATAAGTATATTATTCACACGTACAGCTGCTAATATACAGGTCCCAGTGCAAACACCAGGACTTAAGAATATTATGTGGATTTAGGACAATCCCTGAAGGACTCCAGTTCCATTAAAAATTTGTTTGGCAGCCTGGGGCAGATCTATTCCAACTCCCACATGTTTCATGCATTTGAGAGGGGGAACCAAACCACTTTAAAAATAAATTTAATAAATTTTGTAATGTCAAGTTATTAACATCCTGTCTAGTCATACCGTCTTCATATTTTAAAACAGTAACATTTACCTCTGAAATTAAAAAACATTCAAATATCGGAGTTAACATTTTATCTGAGAAGACATTCCTGGTGTTTTTTGTCAAAGGCGATAAATTGCATCCTGAAAACAGAAGAAAATATTCCTATTTTTCCCTCTAGAGATGTTTTTCTTGTCACAGATATACCAAACAATACCTAGAAAGCCCTGTGACAAGTCCATTTTGATTTGTAAATGGTAGAGGAAATAACTTGTAGACATGCTCAGTTATCGTTTGATGATTTATAACATTTGTTAGAATCTGTTGCCCACAGTGATTCTAACACTGCTTTTATAAATGTTCATTCATTCATTTAGCAGATTTTGTTTGTTTGTTTAGTTTTGTTTTGTTTTGTTTTGTTTCTGAGACAGAGTCTTGCCCAGCCACTCAGGCTGGTGTGCAGTTGTGCAATCTTGGCTCACTGCAACCACTGTGAGCCACTGTGCCCGGCCTTAGCAGATATTTTTAATACCTATCATGCATGTGCAAGGCTAGGAGTTGGGGGAGACACCAAAGAGACAAAAGCCATCCCTCAAGTAGGTGACAGCATCAAGAGAACAGCTGAGGGGAGGGTGGGCAGGGAGAATCTCAACTTGTCTAAGAACACCCAAGCTTCTCACACCAAATGTTCTTGGGTCTCTAAGGAAGATTCCCCCAAATGATAAAAGCATGCTCATCCTCACATAAAACATGTTTATTTCACCTTCACAACAACCCTATAGATATAGAATAGGCATTTTTCTGGCTAATGTAAAGATCTAGAATTTTAACTTAATATTATTTATATCAGGTGAATTATTTCAAGATTCCAAAATTCCACATAATGCAATAGAGAAGTAGGGTAAGCTCATGAATCTACACATGGAGAGAGATTGTAGGTGACCACACCCCAGCTCATGTGAGTCTCTCATCCATGCACAGTGTCCTTCAGCCTGTGCATGGAGCCTCATAGTGTGAGGCTTGTCTGTAAACTTTTTCTTCAATGCTTTGTATAATACTGCCCTAAATAGGAAGTGCTTAATAAATGCAGTGTTTCCCCGGCATTCTAATTAAAAACAATCATTATTTCCTAAAGAGAAAAATAAAGTAATAAATTAGTAAAATATCTGGGCACTAACAATTTTCAAAACAATAACTACTGGGTATTATGGCCCAAGAGTCCTTAAACTGAGACAGGCAAAAAGTACATTCCCAGGTGCTTTAAACAGTGCAGGAATCCTATTTAACTGAAAAGGGAAGCTAACACTATTTGTCTTCTAGATGCACAAAATTAGAGTTACATGAGTAAAGGAATGTAGTCCAAGACTTTCATATGTCCAAACTGAGCCTCCTACGCTACCATTCCCACATACCAACCTCAAAATGCCTGTATGCTATAAATTTCTGAAAGACCCTTCCATCCCTGTGCCACCAAAGGAAGAAACTCAAGGCCAGGATTTGAGTGGTATTCCAAGTCCACCAAAGAGAAGTAATGTTGCCACTTCCCACTAAACTCTCTGCGACTACCCTTAAACTGGTGGGAATCAAGGGGGACAAGCAAATGGGACTTCAAAGCCCGTGTAAGGCCACCAGCCTGCTCATCAAGGCTGAGGGAGGTGGGGGCAGTCCAGTGAAACTCTCATAGCTCATGCTTTTGAAGTTTGATCCACTGCTCCCATTAGCTGAGCAGCACAGCCAAATGACAGCTGCTGGTCTTGTGAAGCTTAACTTGCTGGGGCCTTGGCTGCCTATGGAGATGCTGGGAGAGATGGGCACCAGGAAGTGGGAAAAAGAAAACCCTGTCATCTCTTAACTTCAAGCAATGAAAAACGGAGCAGAGGTAGAGACAGGAAGGCAAGCAAGAGAAAAACAGCTGAAAGTATTTGGGGAAATTTTCCTGTATGGCTAAAAACTCTGTAAGAAGTATATTGGTTTTTCTTATGAGACAAACGAAAGCTGTTTAATCAGAAATATGATATAACATGAAGATCTAAAGAAATACAGATGATAAATGCATGCATATATCTTTGAGAATTTTTTTAGACACTTCATAATTAAATTGAATCTGTTTTTATAAGTATTTAGTATAATGACACAATAAGGAAACATTTTCAAACCCTTCACGGATACCAAGACTGTAAGCACTGTCTGTAGGAATTTGGTGCTTCTGTGCCACCATGTGGCAGTCACCTAAAATTGCAGGCATCAATCTTAAAAGGAACAACAAAGTTCAGGAAGGTGTGTTTTAAAAGTCTACTACTATAAACATGGCCTCAAAACTCATACACACACAAACGCCACTCATTTTTCAGGACTTAGAGAAAAAGCTGTCCCTGAAGTGGACAGATTGATTACAGAGAGTCTCTGAATTGCTGCTCTAGGCAGACACAAATGGGACAAGGAGGAAACTCTCAATTGGTGTTACAATAAAGTTCATTGAGTATTATTTGCAAAAGCATAAATAAGAAGGCAGTTTGAATGCCCATCATCATGGAAATGATTAAATAAACTGTGGCATATCCACACAATAAAATATTAAGGAGCTGCTAAAATGTGCAATAGATCTTCATATACTGATAGAAGAATATCTGTGACATATTTAGATAGAAAAAGCCAGTTGTTGAACAGCATGTATAATATGAACTAAATAATCCTTAAAGTGTATGCATTTTTCCATAAAAAGGTTCAAAAATGTATAGAACTATTTACATTGGTTACCCAAGGGAGGGTAAGACTTTTTACTTTTAATTTTATGCTGTTTAACACAATTTGATTTTTTTCCAGTAAGTATAATTTAATGTTTTTCTTTAAGCAAAGTTCCATAATTATAGAAGTTGTATAAAAGACAGCTTGCTCCACCTTTACCATGTACCCCTGATACTCACTGTACTTGTACGACATTTGCCCCTTCTTTTCCATGTAAATACTACTTATAATATCACGTTACCTGGTTTCACACACCCCTGGAATGGTCCTAGGGTCTTGGTCCTGCTCCATATACAGATAGAGAAGCTCTCAGCAATTTCTGCATCCTTTACTACACTCAAATCTTGCCCAGCTGTAGAGCAGTGGGCTGTCCTGTGCTATAGCCTTAGGGGAAACTAGGACAGACAAAACATGTTGGTCATGAGATTTCTGACTAGAAAAGAGTGAGCCTCAAAAAGAGAACGGCTGGCATGTCTCTCTAATCTGTTCCTCTTTCTTGAATCTATTCCCTCTTCTCTATTCTTAACTACCCCCACCTAGCCCTGATTCACCATTTCTCTCATTACTCCAACATTCTTTAACCCACTCATTTGATTATAACTACCCTGATCTTAAGCTTGTTCCTTCCTAGTCTAAGTAAGCAAACTCCCTAGAACACACTGGTCTTTCCAGAACTGGAATCCAAACGTGCTTTTGCCCCCTAGTAGAAACCCGTTACATGCTTATTAGCCTGGCCCTCCATGTCTGCCTAACCTTTGATTCCTCAAACTGTTGAGATATCCGTATGCTTTTAGAACAGAACCCCAGAATACTTTTTAAAAATTTCCTATTCACAGAGAAGAGACTAATTTCCTTAATATATAGAAAGCCCCTATAAATCCTGAAGCAAAAAAAACAATGACCAACAGAAAAACAGGCTAAGAATTTTAAAAATAGTTCTCAAAAAGGAAATACAGATGACTCTAAAAACATGGAGAGATATTCAATGCCACTTAGAAGACAAGAAATACAAACTAAACTACAGTAAGATGCCATCTGTAACTATCAGAGGGACAAAGTTCAACAAATGTAATAACATACTCTGATAGCAAGAATATGCAGAAATAGGCACTCTCATGCATTGTTGAGTATAAACTGGTAAAATCTCTATCAAGGACAGTTTGGTAATACGTTACAAATTTAAATATGCTTAAGCTTGACCTAGAAATTTCATATGAAAGGTATTTGTTCTAAGGATATACTTATAGTACCCAACATGATGAATTTCCAAGGATATTCACTAAAGCATCATTTGTAATAGAAAAAGACTGTAAACAACCTAAATTTCCATCACAAAGAACTGGTTATGTAAATTATGGCATATTTGTAAGTAGAATACTATGCAGCCATCCAAAAGGATGAAGTCATTCTATATTTATTGACTTCGAATTATTACTAATAGAAACTACAGGAACAAAGTTAAGTACATAGATATATTTCTTTGTGTTTTTTGAGACAGTCTCCCTCAGTCGCCCAGGCTGGAGTGCAGTGACGCAATCTCAGCTCAACCTCTGCAACCTCTGCCTTCCGGGTTCAAGAAATTCTCATGCCTCAGCCTCCTGAGCAGCTGGGACTACAGACACGCGCCACCACACCCAGCTAATTTTTGTGTTTTTGTAGAGACGAGGTTTCACCATATTGGCCAGGTTGGTCTCAAACTCCTGGACTCAAGTGATCTCCCTGCCTCCACCTCCCGAACTGCTAGGATTACAGGCATTAGCCACCATGGCCAGCCTGTTTCTAAATACCTGAAATAAATCAGAAATGATATAATGAAACAAGGAACATTGGTTGCCTCGAGGGAGGAGAATCAATGGGAACATGAGTAAAAAGGGGACTTACTGTTGACTTTAACCTTTTACTCCCTTTCTTTAATTTTTTAATTTAAACACAATTCATAAAACTGATAAAAGCTTGCCTGTACCAGCATATCCTTCAAATACTATACCCAAATCCATTTTCTTTCATGCACAGAGTTATTCTCTCACCTAAGCCACGAACCTCATCCAGTTAATCTATGAAGGCTGACCCTACCCCCATCAAATATATGGTTGATTTCATGTCGTTCTCCTGTTTTAAAACAAACCCGGACCTTCAATGAGTCCCCATTGCCCCCAGAGGAAAGTTTAATCCATTAAAAAGACATTCAAACTCCTTTACCACCCAGCCCCAACCTGTGAGACTCCAATCTAGTCTCAGCTACACCACATGGCTCACCATACCTCTCTCACCAAGCTTATAAATTTTCCTCCCATCTCCCATCCTCCCTTCCCTAACAAAATTACATATGGCCTTTGAGGTCTATATCAAATTACCTCTTTGAAGGTTCCCTACTCCCAGAAAGAACCAATAAAATTTTTCTCTGCACTCCTAAGAATACTTTGCTTATCCTACAAGAAGTTTACTGATTAAAATTGTTAGTCATTTATGGGTCTATAGATGACTACATATAATCTATCGTTACCTCTCTTAGACTGAAAATCCCTTAAAGAAAGAAACCAAGCTCATTCATCATGTATTCCTAGCACCTAAATAACCACTCACACTTACAGTTGTGTTGTACATACACACACACACACACACACACATATATATAGTTCATAGTCACCATTTTCCCCCACAGTCCTCATTTATCAAATTGAATTAAGAACCTTGTTTCTCCAAGGCTATTTCTATGTGGTTGGTTAACGTGTGTCCAGAATAACACGGTGCTATCTATGCAACTATACTTCCTAAGTTTAAGCCAGGCTCTTGTGGTTGATTGTTTTTCCTACATCTTGCACAGCTGTCTGGTATTGGTTTGACTTCACTTATTCTTACTGAATATACTGATTGGCTGCAGATAAAAGAAGCGCTGGTTTGTCTCCTTGTGAATGATTACATTTGATGAATTAGGTATGCATAACAACTTGGGAAATCAGAGTTACCATTTCAGGAGCAAATGGATATGAAATAAAATCTCTAGAGGGGGAAACTGCTGACCTGCTCTGCTGCTTTACTCTTAATTCTAAGGATACTATAAAATCTCTTAAAGGGGAAAAAAAAAAACTAGTTACCCAAGAACTATTTATGACAGTTATTCACTATGCTTCTATTTATTATGCTTCTACTCAAATATAGCTTTTAGTAACTCTGTTTCTTAAGGCAATAAAAAAGGTGTTGGGGAAAATGGCTTAAATGTCCATCAACAGGTGAATGGATAGAACAAATTGTGGTATATCCATACAATAGACTACTTCTCAGCAATACAAGAGAATTAATAATTGATACATGAAACAACATAACATATCCCAAAATAAGTACACTGAATGTAAGAAGACAGACCGAAAAAAATACATATTGTTTTATTAAATTTATATAAAATCCTAGGAAATGCAAACTAACCTAATAGTGTCATAAAGCAGATCAAGGATTGCTTAGGGATGGAGTAGAGGCCAGGGAGGGGTAGGAGGGAAGAATTACAACGTGTCATGAAGAACCTTTTGGGTGATAAGTATGTTCACTATCTTAATTGCAGTGATTGTTTCATGGGTGTATATATTTGTCAGATTGTCAAAACTCATAAAATTGTATACAGTAGTCCCCTTTATGCATGGTTTTGCATCTTCAGTTTCAGTTACCTGTGGTTAACCATGGTCTGAAAATATAAATGCAAAGCTCCAGACATAAAAAATTCATAAGTTTTAAATTGCACGCCATTCTGAGTTGTGTGGTGAAGTCTTGAACCATCCTGCTGTGTCCCACCTGGGGCGTGAATCATCCCTCTGCCCAGCATCTCTATGCTGTATATGCTACCTGCTCATTAGTCACTTAGTAATCATCCAGGTTATCAGATCAAAGACATGGTATACATGAGGTGTGGTGCTATCTGAGGTTTTAGGCACCCATTGTGGGGCTTGGAACACATCCGCCTCGAATAAGAGGGACCACTGTACTTTAAAATGTGCAATTTGGGTAGCAGCCAAGATGGCCAAATAGGAACAGCTCCGGTCTACAGCTCCCAGCGTGAGTGATGCAGAAGATGGGTGATTTCTGCATTTCCATCTGAGGCACCGGGTTCATCTCACTAGGGAGTGCCAGACAGTGGGCGCAGGACAGTGGGTGCAGCGCACCGTGCGCGAGCCAAAGCAGGGCGAGGCATTGCCTCCCTCGGGAATCGTGAGGGGTCAGGGAGTTCCCTTTCCTAGTCAAAGAAAGGAGTGACAGATGGCACCTGGAAAATCAGGTCACTCCCACCCTAATAATGCGCTTTTTCTGACGGGCTTAAAAAACGGCGCACCGGGAGATTATATCCCGCACCTGGCTCAGAGGGTCCTACGCCCACGGAGTCTCGCTGATTTCTAGCACAGCAGTCTGAGATCAAACTGCAAGGCAGCAGCGAGGCTGGGGGAGGGGCACCCGCCATTGCCCAGGCTTGCTTAGGTAAACAAAGCAGCCAGGAAGCTCGAACTGGGTGGAGCCCATCACAGCTCAAGAAGGCCTGCCTGCCTCTGTAGGCTCCACCTCTGGGGGCAGGGCACAGACAAACAAAAAGACAGCAGTAACCTCTGCAGACTTAAATGTCCCTGTCTGACACCTTTGAAGAGAGCAGTGGTGGAGATCTGAGAACGGGAAGACTGCCTCCTCAAATGGGTCCCTGACCCCTGACCCCCGAGCAGCCTAACTGGGAGGCACCCCCCAGTAGGGGCAGACTGACACCTCACACGGCCGGGTACTCCTCTGAGACAAAACTTCCGGAGGAACGATCACACAGCAGCATTCGCGGTTCACGAAAATCCGCTGTTCTGCAGCCACCGCTGCTGATACCCAGGCAAACAGGGTCTGGAGTGGACCTCTAGCAAACTCCAACAGACCTGCAGCTGAGGGTCCTGTCTATTAGAAGGAAAACTAACAAACAGAAAGGACACCTACACCAAAAACCCATCTGTACATCACCATCATCAAAGACCAAAAGTAGATAAAACCACAAAGATGGGGAAAAAACAGAGCAGAAAAACTGGAAACTCTAAAAAGCAGAGCGCCTCTCCTCCTCCAAAGGAACGCAGTTCCTCACCAGCAACAGAATAAAGCTGGTAGGAGAATGACTTTCACAAGTTGAGAGAAGAAGGCTTCAGATGATCAAACTACTCCGAGCTACAGGAGGAAATTCAAACCAAAGGCAAAGAAGTTAAAAACTTTGAAAAAAATTTAGACGAATGTATAACTAGAATAACCAATACAGAGAAGTGCTTAAAGGAGCTGATGGAGCTGAAAGCCAAGGCTCGAGAACTACGTGAAGAATGCAGAAGCCTCAGGAGCTGATGCGATCAACTGGAAGAAAGGGTATCAGTGATGGAAGATGAAATGAATGAAATGAAGCGAGAAGGGAAGTTTAGAGAAAAAAGAATAAAAAGAAATGAACAAAGCCCCCAAGAAATATGGGACTATGTGAAAAGACCAAATCTACGTCTGATTGGTGTACCTGAAAGTGACAGGGAGAATGGAACCAAGTTGGAAAACACTCTGCAGGATATTATCCTGGAGAACTTCCCCAGTCTAGCAAGGCAGGCCAACATTCAGGAAATACAGAGAACGCCACAAACATACTCCTCGAGAAGAGCAACTCCAAGACACATAATTGTCAGATTCACCAAAGTTGAAATGAAGGAAAAAATGTTAAGGGCAGCCAGAGAGAAAGGTCGGGTTACCCACAAAGGGAAGCCCATCAGACTAACAGCGGATCTCTCGGCAGAAACTCTACAAGCCAGAAGAGAGTGGGGGCCAATATTCAACATTCTTAAAGAAAAGAGTTTTCAACTCAGAATTTCATATCCATCCAAACTAAGCTTCATAAGTGAAGGAAAAATAAAATACTTTACAGACAAGCAAATGCTGAGAGATTTTGTCACCACCAGGCCTGCCCTAAAAGAGCTCCTGAAGGAAGCACTAAACATGGAAAGGAACAACCGGTACCAGCCACTGCAAAATCATGCCAAATTGTAAAGACCATCGAGGCTAGGAAGAAACTGCATCAACTAACGAGCAAAATAACCAGCTAACATCATAATGACAGGATCAAATTCACACATAACAATATTAACTTTAAATGTAAATGGACTAAATGCTCCAATTAAAAGACACAGACTGGCAAATTGGATAAAGTGTCAAGACCCATCCGTGTGCTGTATTCAGGAAACCCATCTCATGTGCAGAGACACACATAGGCTCAAAATAAAAGGATGGAGGAAGATCTACCAAGCAAATGGAAAACAAAAAAAGGCAGGGATTGCAATCCTAGTCTCTGATAAAACAGACTTTAAACCAACAAAGATCAAAAGAGACAAAGAAGGCCATTACATAATGGTAAAGGGACCAGTTCAACAAGAAGAGCTAACTGTCCTAAATATATATGCACCCAATACAGGAGCACCCAGATTCATAAAGCAAGTCCTGAGTGACCTACAAAGAGACTTAGATTCCCACACAATAATAATGGGAGACTTTAACAACCCACTGTCAACATTAGACAGATCAACGAGACAGAAAGTTAACAAGGATACCCAGGAATTGAACTCAGCTCTGCACCAAGCGGACCTAATAGACATCTACAGAACTCTCCACCCCAAATCAACAGAATATACATTTTTTTCAGCACCACACCATACCTACTCCAAAACTGACCACATAGTTGGAAGTAAAGCTCTCCTCAGCAAATGTAAAAGAACAGAAATTATAACAAACTGTCTCTCAGACCATAGTGCAATCAAACTAGAACTCAGGATTAAGAAACTCACTCAAAACCGCTCAACTACATGGAAACTGAACAACCTGCTCCTGAATAACTACTGGGTACATAACGAAATGAAGACAGAAAAGTCAGGAAACAACAGGTGCTGGAGAGGATGTGGAGAAACAGGAACACTTTTACACTGTTGGTGGGACTGTAAACTAGCTCAACCATTGTGGAAGTCAGTGTGGCAATTCCTCAGGGATCTAGAACTAGAAATACCACTTGACCCAGCCATCCCATTACTGGGTATATACCCAAAGGACTTTAAATCATGCTGCTATAAAGACACATGCACACGTATGTTTATTGCGGCACTATTCACAATAGCAAAGACTTGGAACCAACCCAAATGTCCAACAATGATAGACTGGATTAAGAAAATGTGGCACATATACACCATGGAATACTATGCAGCCATAAAAAATGATGAGTTCATGTTCTTTGCAGGGACATGGATGAAATTGGAAATCATCATTCTCAGTAAACTATCGCAAGGACAAAAAACGAACACCGCATGTTGTCACTCATAGGTGGGAATTGAACAATGAGAACACATGGACACAGGAAGGGGAACATCACACACTGGGGACTGTTGTGGGGTGGGGGGAGTGGGGAGGGATAGCATTAGGAGATATACCTAATGCTAAATGACAAGTTAATGGGTGCAGCATGCCAGCATGGCACATGTATACATAGGTAACTAACCTGCACGTTGTGCACATGTACCCTAAAACTTAAAGTATAATAATAATAAAATAAAATGAAGAGTGTGACTAAAGGGAAAAAAATGTGCAATTTATTATGTGTTAAATATACCTCAATAAAGCTGTTTTTTTAAGTGTAGGAGGAAGACAGAGGTGAGAGAAGGGAGAGAGATAGAAGTCTGTCCAAGAACATACCTATACAATTCTATCTTAAAGTGGTTTTCAAAGAAGAGGGAATGTTCAACACTTGCAAAATACCTTTCCAGAATGATATTTTCCTGAAAATGTCATTTTCTAGGCAGGTAGGAATTGTATTTTTGAAAGGAGCAGCCAGGTTGCAAGCAGATGATTAATTATCATGGAAAATCATTGATGTATCATTGCAATTTCACAGTGTTTCTTACAGTTAAAATAAAGCTCCTCCATATCTCTTATAAAGGTATTATAAAGCTTTAATTGATTTGTGTTGGTGAAAACCCTTGGTACCATCATGGAAAATAACTGAATTAAGTATCAAAGTATGAACATACAACTTTGAGTATGATTTTTATATTTTTCTTTATAATAAATATTGGAGGTTGCCAGCTAGTCTAACACATTAATAAACCAGGGAAGACTCAGACCCTAGAGGCTTGCATATCTGTTGATTTAATGTCAAATATAGAGTCTAGAGAGATGTTTAAAGAAACTTGTGTAGCTACCTCTACTACTGGATAATCTTGCAAATACCACTTGCCCCCTCATTAAAAAACAATAATGACTTATGCACGGTTAACTAAAGAATACAAATCTCTAGGCTTATTCATACATTTTCTTTTATGGGAAGGTTGAGAAGAATAACTTATCATTAATTCAGCATGACAGTAAAGAAATACAATAAAAATGACAATATTGATCAGGAGGACAATATAGACTCATATGGAAACAGGAAAACTAAGAATTTGATTGAAAGATGTTTGAGCCACAGGCTGTATCTAAAGTAACAGACACAGCATCCAGTGTAACAGTAGCTCTTGATTGCGCTTTAAGAATATCATTCAGTGGCAATACACACACACTAGGTCTTCAGTAACTGTTAGACATTATTATTCATTATTTTGGAAGTCAAATTTGAGACTGTAATTTAACATCCAGTCAACAGGTCTGTAGATCAAAGTCCCTCACTATTTGCAAAGTAGAAATAAAGAAGATGTTCTATGATATCTCTATTCCAATCAATATAATCAGACATGGGATAGTAGAGAAAACTCATCTAAGAAAATGTTGATCATTAGGCAGAAACAAGACTATTCTTTAAGAAATAAATATCTTAAGAAGGACTCTTTGCTGTGGATCTTTATACTGGTGGCCCACAGCAAACTGGAGAATAACTTCCACATTTTGGGATGAAAATGTCATTACGAGGCAGGTACAGATATTGCCGTTCGTTACGGTCACCTATAAAAAGCTGGCAATTTGTAAGGCTAGACAGAATACAGAAGTCACTAGCCACATGTGGCAATTTAAATTTAAATATGTCAAGTAAAATTAAAAACTCATTTCTTCAGTTGCATTAGCCACATTTCAAATGCACAATAGACACATGCAGTTAGTGGCCCCCACATAGGAGAGGGCAATATAGAATATTCCATCGTCACCAAAAGCTCCAGTGAACTGCATTGGGCTAGAAGGAAGTAGAGGCTAACATAAGGATGCCAAGTAAGAAACCCTGTAATACTGTATTTGAAAAAGAGAGTGCTCATTGGTTACAAAGAGGCCATATCATTCAACCTCCAAAGGGGAAAAAGGGACCTTGGGTCCATACTCTCCTAGCCCGGCTTTCAATAAATAGTCCAGAGTTAAAGTGCTCTTCATGCCCTTGTGCCCTCTGGGACCTCAAAAACTAAATGTGTGTTTTCCATAAAATATTAAGTCAAGAGAAAGTAAGACAGCACACTTAATGTGAAATAAAGTTCATATACTCCTGTTTAAACACAGATTAGAATTTCTGTCAGAACAATGCCAGTGAAAAGTTGACATTCTAATTAATACAATTTACATCATAAAGCACTGAATATCTTTATCTTGCTATTATGAAATGCCCTCTTTAAAAAAAAGTTGAAACTCTACTCAACAGGGAAATGAGTACTAAGGACAGTATATAAAAACCCATGTACAAGAGAGGTGGTTAGGGTCACTTGCATTTTTACACACCATCGACTCAGGTCTCTAAAAAGGGAAGCAATACACTCATCCTCTACCACACAGTTTTGTCATTCTTTATCATCTGCAAGGCTATTTGCATGCAGCAACAGGATTTTAAAGCTGTTTTTCTGTTATATAAACATGCTGCAAAAAACAAACACCAAAACCTGAAACATTATCTCTTTCCCCTCTTTTCTCCCTCTCCATCTCTCCCTTCTCTCTCTCACTTAACATCATAGAGAACAACAGTTCTGGAACCCTGTGAACTCGCATACAGGTAGGACTCCCACATAATGTTTATTCAATCCAAATTCTGAGTGTGTAAGAGGGGCAGAAAATCAACCCCACAGTTGAGTACCCAAGGATTCATGTTCATTGCCTTTGTCAATTTTATGCTATCAGTGAAAGGAATAAAGATGAGATCCTTACAGCTTGAATTTTCATTTCCTATGACACGTGCTTTTTCTTCATGCTTTATCACACTCCACTACTTAGTTTCCACCCCTTCATAATTGATATCGGCCATTTGAAGCATTCAGTAAAAACCCCACGAGGTTCATCGAATGTCCCCCAGTCTATAATTCTTGCTTTTAACATTCAGAAGCAAATTCATCTGAGTGTTTTCCACTTCCCCTCCATGGTTTTCTCTATGCACAGGGATGAGTGTAATGACAGTTGTATTAATTATATGCTGAAAAACCCACATAGCAGCAAAAATGATGGAGATCATCATTTTAAATATTTTATTAAAATAACCCAGTGTAGAACAGATAATGTAGACCCTCTTGATAATGAGAGGTTCATTAATTTTACAAGAATTCTAGAAAGCTTAGAATGGTCATCAAAATCATCTCTTTCATTTATTTGTTTTTAAGAAAGGGAAAACCTTCAGTTGCTGCTTTAGAGAACAAGGGTCTAATAAAATTTTCTAAGGTATTTTTAAATAATTACTTATCCTTCCAGGAAAAGCTTTGAAAAGGTAGCTTGAAACAGAGATGATTTAGGTTTCATAGTATTACTTGAAATGCCTGTAAATTTTCATCTTCTGTGACCCATTAAAATTTGGTTTCATTGACATATAGTAACCTTTGATAAATAAAATTGATATTTCTCATAAACAAACAAGCAGTACATTAAAATCCTTTGATTATTGACAGCAAGAACAACACAATCTTGCCTACCAAGTGTGTCTCCAGATACAGTTTAAGGTCATCCATCTCTGCTTTAGGGGGAGTCCAATTTTCTGTAGTTTCCATGGCTTCATTTAACCATTGAATGAATTCATCCAGTTTGTTTACAAACCCCTTGTGAAAGGAAAGAAAAGGGGAAAAAAAGGGGCAAGAAAGGCATGTTAGTTGGTTATTCTGTAAAAAGCCAATATTAAAAGTTCCAAATTTTATCCATGATCAAATCGATCCCACCGCACTCCTATCCTAGTTTCATCTTTGCTGTAATGGAATTTCCACTATTCCTGGACCTGAACTCTTACCAAAATGGGAAAGAAACTGTCAATGCTTCCCTCTCAGTTTTTCTCTAGAATCACTTTTCTGAGGAATTTGGATTGGATTGTGGGGTGTCACTGTATGGGTGACCTCAAAACATCAAAACATTTCTGGTGTCTGACAAGCATCCCCCTGCCAAAAAATCAGGTCAGGTCTGCTAGGAACACTCGTTGGCTTTGGGGGATTGCCAAATCCTTTACAGGGATTGGCATTCCTGTAAAGATGTTGTTCTTCACCCAGAAGCCTGTGGAGTTTAGTTGCCATAGCTGAACTAGAAATATATTTCAAAATTACATAAGTATTTACAGGTCCTTGGACGAGTTCTGTCCACAGCCCAAATGTCTGTGTCTGAGCCTGTGTGCTACAAAGGAAGGAAGCGTAGAAAGTGGGACCAATGAACAAACATAAATACTTGACTTCGGGTATGTACAGACATAAAGATATATTCTTGGCTAGGAAGCACAAATCACAATAACCTTGCAATTTTTCAAATAGTGGTTATAAAATTTTATTGGCCATTTAGAAGTATACATCTGTAGAAACAGAAAATATTTTGAAAATATGAAAGCCCAACTGCAAACCTAAGTGAAAGAAATGGGGCTGGGCTCCTGCTTTCCGTGTCTGGGTAAACAGCACCACCTGGAGGTCATAAGGAGCAAGGGCAGGCTTCCACACATAACTAGGAATGGGTTGAGATGCCGTTTCCCTATTAAACTTAACCCATTCTTCAGATGTGCCTTTCAAATAATCTTGATTAATATTTTTAATGCTTAACTGAGGATGTCCTGACACTGAAGTGGAAAGAGGTAAAAGTAAATATTTTTTATAATGTTTATCACAAGCTAGGTTTTGCCATTAGGGTTTTTCCTAGATAATATTTTAAGATTCATAAACCTTTAATTCAAGCAATTAGATTACCTCAAAAAAAATCATGAGAAAAAGAGAAAATGGAATTGTGGAGAGTGGTAAGTAAAAAAACAAATAACACTCAGGAACACAAATTGTTTATTAGAGGGGGACAAAGCAGAGATGTGGGCACAGAGTCCCATAGAGTCAGATCATACCATACTGCCATGCTCTGGTGTGTTGCCAACCTGTTTAGATAGAGCTCAGTCTATCATCCCACATAGTGGTACATCATATGGTTTCCCATATTCATACATGTTTCCAAAAGCTTTTCCTATTGAAAATCTCTCTATTGTACCAAGTCTCCAAGGAGAGTCACACCCAGGGATACATATCACAACCAGATTTCACAAATGCAAGATTTCTCATTTATATTCTTTCAAAAATCTATCCCAATTGGTTAGATTTGATAAAACTAATGAGAAATATCATCTTAGAGACATCATAATCACAAACTGAGACCTACACAATTGCAATTGGCTGAGCTGGGAACTATATGGTAGTTTAACATTCCTCCAGTCCTAGACTCCAACCCTAAACTGATTGACAACATCATTGAGGTTTCTGTTGGTCATCACTCAGAAGATTTTCTTCCAGGTGAGGTGAAAATATGTCCAACAGAGAAGGTTTCAGAAATTTCATACAATGTATTCCCTTACTAAGTGAATTTTCTGGTGATCTACCAAACTCAGCCTTTTTTTCTAATTTTCTCATATTGCAACTCTTTCCAAATGCCAAGAATCCATGCAAGATCATTCATTTTGCCCCTTCTCCTATCTTCAGGGTATCAGTTTGTCTGTTCTTTCGCCTTTCCTGCATTTGCATAAATTTGAGAGTTGCTTTGCTTTTCATTTCCTCCCAAATACTTGACTCTTTTAATATCGAAGTTACACTTACTCAAGCTCAGTCTTCTCAGTAGAGTGTCCCATGTGTTCAAAATGTTATTTCCTAAACTCCTTTATCTGGTAGACTACCTAGGGATCAGAATATTTCACAGGTTCATATCTGACTTGATGTTTACCATAGATCCCTTCAGATGTGTACAGTAAATCTGTGAGCAGAAATAAGGGCAGAGTCTGTTAGAACTCCAGTCCTAATTCTCGATACTCTCATAATTAAAATTTTCGTGAAAACTTAAGAGACCCTTTGCTGACCAGATGGACTTACAGAAGTATTGTCTGTCATCTGTGGATGCTAGTCAGAAAAGCAGAATTTAGATGGTTTATAAATGGGAGATGAAAATAGTACTTTATACTTCTTGCAGCATTAAACAGTTTTTACTATTGTATTTAGAATTGTGTTGTTATATCTGTACATATAAATTGGTTTGGGGAGAAAATTAAGTCAGAAAGTATATTATTTAGGGAACAAGTGGTTAAATCCAAGAAGATAAATAGTGAAAGACGTTATTTGAAATGTAACTAGTTAAAAAACCATGCACTATCTTCTCCCCTTCAAAAACAAACACAAATAACCTGTGTGTGTATGTCAGTGCATGGTTGCTTCATCATAAAAGTTAGTCTTAGCCAAAAAGCACTAAACAATGTGTCAGGTTTCCTAACAGAACCATGATTACATAGTTAGCTGAAATCTGTGAGATGCAGATTAGACAAAACCCATTGGTCCTGGGTGAACATTTCCGGATGGCACCTCTGTGTATCCCAGCCAGATAGCAAAACAAGGCTGTCTGATATAGGGGAAACAGGAGTCCTCTCAAGGATTCTCTCTGGGTTTCTTCTGAGTTATATCCCACCCTCACAACTTTTTATTTGTTGCACATTTCCTATCTCTTTTCTTGCCAATACTAAAAAGTTTCATCACTCACAATAGAAACCTGAGATATCCCAGTGTTCCGAACTTATAATAAAAGCTAAGCACCCCGTCCCTTTAGGGAGATCTAGCTTTCGACCTCCCTTCCTGCTTCTATGTGTAGCCTCAAGAATATAAACAGAAATCATGAAAGAAAGCAAAATTGGGGTCCATTCAATTCATGATACCTTTATCACATGCTATTTTTCCACTTCACTCAGCCCCCTCTATCTGTGTACTATCACCGGGTTTCTGTGTACAGTGGACAGTGTACTAGGTACTCTCCCCCTATCAAGAGATGTGCTTAGAAAGACCAAGAAAGTGCCCCTCTATACACAGACCATGTGGATGTGCAGGTGTATTCACATTTGGACACACACAACAAATACTTGATGCCCATTTTCAGAAGCTCTGCTGGCATCTTTGTGGTGTGAATGAAAGAAAATAAGGATGACATACGAAAATGGAAAAAAAATTTAAAAATTATTTTGAAACACAGATCAAATCCTAATGCAACAAATATTGGTCATTTATTTTTTCATTTAACATATATTTATTAAGTGCCTTCTATGTGTGAAAAAGCACACTACTAGACATTGCTGAAAATACAAAGATAAATATCATTGTGGCAAAAATTTCAGCAGAACATATAGCATGTCTAAGGCCTGAATTCAAGTAATTTTAATAGTCAAAAAAGATTACAATAAATAAAGAGTTGGGACACTCTTCTGGATATTGTGAAATTATTATATCTGTATCGGAATTCTGTCTGTAACCAAGTTTGTTCTCACTCTTAGTATTGGCCTACCTATGTGTGTTTCTAATATTCTGAATTCAAATTTACTTCTCTGGAAAGTCAGAGGACTATAAAAATCAGATTTTCTTCATGATATAACCCAATGCCACCACTGCACTACATGAAAAGTACATTTTATGCATGTTCTACTCTCTGCCACAGGCTGAATTACAAACCTTTGAAAGGCTGCATTTTAGCCTTCATTGTTCAAACTCCTCCTGCTGTATCTGTTCAGTGTCTTTCCTGTTATTTTCTACCAGTGTCCTTATTGTCCCTTTCTGCTGCTTCTTCCATTACTTTTCTTTGCCTCCCTGACAAGCTGTCCAGGAGCACATGGAGAGTGACCTAGTCCACAAGATCCTGTCCTCCTGCCCACTCTCATGGATTAACTGTTTCCTTCTTTGTCATGCTCCTATTTTATACAGGCTTTGAGAGTCTGTAGACCCTTGTTTGGCACCAAGCCAGGATTCAACCCCCAGGAGAAATCCTGGTCATCAAACAGAAGAAAATGGAACAGTGGTTGGCCCTCCTACCAGTGGTTGTCAGCATACCTCCTACTTTCAAATCATTTGCATTTTGAAAGTTCCTTCGTGAGGGTAAAAAGTTACTTTTAAACTTTCTAAAACATCAATCTCTTTAAAGACTAAGAAGCACCGTGAAAGTACATGCAAATGTATACTTACTGGTTTGTGAAAAATAATTTGCTAGAGGCTTTGGCTGGCTAAAATACACTTGAAGATGATTTTCACAGTGAACACTTACAGTCAAATCTTGCAAAGTGCTACACTCTCCCAACAAGTTAAGAATACTCATTATTTCTTTTCCTAACTCTTTCTCCTCTACAACAAGCCTTGTTTGGTTAAATATAAACTGTCTGGGCGGTTACCTTTGCCCTCTGGCAAGGCTGTCATATGGAGCTAGAATAAAAAGGAGGGCCTTCCTTGTGCCATATATGGGGCCAGGGAACAGCCACATAATGGAAAACAAGATATGGCCCCTGCCTTGTGGAACTGAAAGTCGAAGGGTGATTTTTAAACGGGATTATATAATTATAGATTAAAATAAAGTGGAAAATTCTGTCTCTACAAGAGGAAATGGGAAGTATACAGCAGGAAGTAAATGCTGTGTTGTCACCACAAATCTTCGAGATGGTGTTGATTATGGTCATTTTACAGATGAGGAAACTGAGGATCAGAGAAGGTAAGTGACTTGGGATTTGAACATGGATCTCACTCCAAAGTCTATTCCTCCCACTGTACCACACCACCCTCTAGAAACAGTGTTCCTGCAGACAAATTATCAGACCCAGGTCATGGAGAAGTAGCATTTATTCCCAGTTTTAAAGTCTTGGCACTGAGATAGAATTCGCTGAGTCCTAAGTCTCCTACCCTTCTCATTCACTATTTTCTGTTGTTTTTTTCTAAAACAGAATTTGTGATGAGACTAAATGCTTAACAAGAAACACATTTATTTTTAGAAAGCAAAGATTACTGTAAAGTTCATTTCTAAGGCACAGAAAATTTAAATGAAAAATTTAAGGGCGTTACATGCTTGAATGAGCCCATTCTACCAGTGCTCAATTACAGATGGGCTTGACTCAGTTTAATCACAGAGGACATGGCCCTTAGTTCTCAGAAGGCAGTTGAGCCACCCTCCTGAACTGCTAATTCCTTTTGGTATTTGCTGTTTGGAAGTGTATGTGAATGTGTGTGTATTCATCCTCAGAGTAATTCATATTTATTAGTGGACAGAGAAATTAGGCATGATGTCTGACTCAGTCTAGATCGAGTTAGCTGCCTCCACACAGAAACTTGCTGAAGAGTATCAAAAAAGTGAACTATTTTCATTACATTTTATGTATTTATTTATTCATTTATTTTTTAGAGACAGGGTCTCTTTAGAGATAAGGCTAGAGTGCAGCGGCATGATCATAGATCACTGCAGCCTCCAACTCCTGAGCTCAAGGAATTCTCCTGCCTCAGCCACCTGAGTAGCTGGGACTACAGGTGCACACCATCACACCCAGATAATTTTTTTATTTTTATTTTTGTAGAGATGGGGGTCTCACTGTGTTGCACAGGCTGGTCTCAAATTCCTGGCCTCAAGTGTTCCTTCCACCTCGGCCTCCCAAAGCAAAGGTATCACAGGCACGAGCCACTGCACCTGGCCTATTTCACTATATTAAAAAAAAAAAAAGTCAGCTTCTGCTGTTGAACCTTTTAAACTATTATGCTCTCATCTGGACAATTCTAGCTGAAACAAATAACCCTCAGATGGTACTCACTATGTGCCAGAACCTGTTTTAAGTATTTTGTACAAGTAGATCATTTAAGTCTCATAATGGCCCTGTGAGGTAGGTACTATAGTTATCCCCATTTTACAGATGAGAAGAGTGAGGCCCAAGAGGTAAGGAAGTCTGCCCAATACCCTACAGCTAGAAGGTGGCAAACTCAGTACCTGAATCCAGAAAGCCTCACTGGCACCGTATGAAATCATGAACAGTCAGATGATTTAACAGCTTGACTATGACACTTGCAGGAATCAGAAGAGAAGAACTAAATGAGGATTAATTTGGGGGGACATGGAAGGGTATATTAAAAGAGGGGAAAAAGTGCTTCTCATAAGCCAGTGTGGCTAATGTTAAGAAAACAGTTGCTACAGCCAGACAAAACTGAATTTGAGTCATTTAGTTTATACCTAATGACTTAATGTCTCTGAACATTAGTTTCTTCATCTGTAAGATGGGGACAGTAACATTCACCGTGGGATTACATGAGGACAATCGGAAAAGTATAGTTTAAAGCCTGATGTAAAACAAGAGCTTGATAAGTGATTATTTAAAAAAAATCATTCCTAATTCACAAAAGTTCCAATTTCATCTTTTATCTCAAAATTGTTTTATTATTCACTAAGTCTACAGCACTGTACTAGGTGCTGGCAATGAGATGGATTTTAAAAGTCCCCACACGGGCCAGGCGCAGTGGCTCACACCTGTAATCCCAGTACTTTGAGAGGCCGAGGTGGGCAGATCACAAGGTCAGGAGATAGAGACCATCCTGGCCAATATGGTGAAACCTTGTCTCTGCTAAAAAAAAAAAGAAAAAATACAAAAATCAGCTGGGCGTGGTGGCATGTGCCTATAATCCCAGCTACTTAGGAGGCTGAGGCACGAGAATCACTTGAACCCAGGAGGCAGAGGTTGCAGTGAGCCGAGATTGCTCCACTGCACTCCGGTTTGGTGACAGAGACAGACTCTGTCTCAAAAAAAAAAAAAAAAAAAAAAAAAGTTCCCACACAGTCACAATATAGGGGGTGGCAGCAAATGCTCTGGGCATTTAGAAGAGGGAGTCATGGCTTTCACCTCACATGGTCAATGAGACAGCATGACGGGGGCAGCATCTGAACCCGCAGGTTAGCAAGAATTTCACCACCCAGCTACCCGACCAGTGGATCTGGAGGGCATCACGTTTCTCTACTAATTGTCACAAGTTTCAGAATAATCTGACTTAATTTTTCAAAACGGGCTACATTCTTTGGAGCCTATCTTTACATCAGCAATGGGGCTACCAAAAAATAAGAGCTAAAGGACATCATGATCCTCTTATCCACAGTAAAGGTTTGTTTAGGCTCTAAATAAGGTAAGTAAAATTAGAACCTTTTTTAGAAAAGTAAAATTAGAACTTTATTTAGAAGCAAAATTATGCATTGAGATTTTTACATACATATTTACCAACATATATAATCTTCCGTTTTTGGGCATAATTCGTTATACACATAGTTTCTACATAAAATGACTAGATTTAGATTTTTGCATAACAACACTCAAATGCAATTTACCTTTCCCAACCAACTAACTATATACTTAATGTGCCACCAAGGCCCAGGGGCTCAAGACAAAGTGCTAGAGAGTTAAAAGCTGTGCTTTGGACTCTACTACCTAACTTATATACCCACACTCCTACCTAGAAAATCCAACACAGTACGAGTAATTGACAGAAGAGGAAAGATCGTGTATGCTTTTAGAACAAAGATTGAAGAGAAAATAAAATGGTTTCAGTCAGTGTTGACTGTGATGCCACCAAAAAAACTCAAATACTGAAACGCCCAATGAAATATTTAGCTTCTTTTCTAAAGGTTGAATGAGAAGGCTTTAGAATATAAAAATATTCCTGATAAAATTGTTCCAGAATAAAGGTAAAAACTGTCAGTGGGAAAGAAAGAGCAAAATGGCATGGAATGGTATTATCTAAAGCTACCCAGGTGGGAAGTTCTATTCTGAACTCAGCATCATGTAGAAGGAATATTACACTGAATCCACAATTTCTTCAAATACTATTTATAGTGGTTTCAACTGGGAAAAGAAGAACCCAGAAAGATTCCTAACTCTTATGATGGGAAAGGGATTCATCTAACAAATCTAGAGATTTTGAATTCAGTTGCTCCCTATGGGTTTATAAAAAGAAATTATCAGTCATTCTAAGGGCAAAACAAGATTGGAATGCATATCATCAAAGTCTAATAAAAATAGGTACAAATAAAAAAATGGGAATAAACTGGAACAAACAATAGGTTAACATTAACTGAGCACTTACTACACACCAGGCACTTACATAATCCTTACAACAACCCTATGATACAATATTACTGCACTCTCCATTTTATAGTGAGGAAACTGAAGCACAGACAAGATCAAACACTTTACAAGCTCCCAACATTGTCAGGTATGAAGCTGGGGACCCCTCATTCAGGTAGTATGACTGCCCCAAAGCTTGGCAGACTTGCTCTAGGTGAGACCTTGCTTCAAGCACCCCCAATCCTCCAAGACACTGGATAAGCAGATCAGATCATCTTTATCTGCCTTTAAGTCTCAAATGAGCACCTGAGATACTCATAACTTAGAATTTAGGATTATGATAGTTTAATGGTTTAATTGTAGGTTTTTCATATCTAGTATTATAATTAACAATATTTAACATTTAGGTACATCTACCATCTATCCTACTAATAACTTGTGAAGTTATTGAATAGTCAAATTTCCCCATTGTACAGATGAAGAGGCTAAGGCATAGAGAAGTTATGTAATTTATTTAAGGTCCTATAGCTATTAAGTGGTTATTAAATAGTTTTGTTCCAGGGTCTAAGCTCTGGACTACTGTGCTATATTCTCTCTCTAACCAGATTTGTTCCCACAAAGTCCATAGAGAGGAAACAAAGGACAGTCACATTCTCTGTTGTTCACTCCTATTTTCCAAGCTTCTCTGAGAACCCCAGCTCTTGTCACAGTTCAATCATTCCTATCAGAGCCCTATTTTAGATCATTCTTCCTGTACTCTGTGCTCTCTCTTTTCAGCCTTTCTTTTCTTTCTTCCTTGACTATTGTTGTTTTGCCTCTTTTTTCTCTTTCCTCTTCTCCAGCCCCTCCCCTCCTTTGTTCCCCACTCCTCTGCTCTCTTCCCCCACTTCTCCTCTTTTTTCCACTTGCTCATTGTTTCTTTCTTTTTTCTACAGTTCAAAGTCTCCTCCAGCCTTGCTAGGGCTAATCAATCACTTTAAATAAACATTTCTGGACATATCTATAAAGTTTTAGTGAAAAGGGCTGACTCCTTGACACTGAAGTACAGACCTGAAAATGTTGTTTTATTCCTTGTTTAGATTAGCTCTAAATACTTTCCTGATTAGTAAGAACTCTTGCACATCAAATATCTGGAACAAGAGTGAGTGTGGCTTGATGGGAGTATTTGCAGAATACTAAGATTATTCAAAAGATTACATGTGATTGTTGAGTTGTTGTTTATCTAAGTACTCTAAATTTCCTCCAGGGAATATATAACAAAATTATTATTCAGCAATAATAAAGTTATTATTTTTAGAAAAAAAATTGGAATTCCATGTGAAGAGTTTATCATACTGAACGAGCAAGAAAATGCTACGGCCAACTTTCTACCAGAGAGCTTCAGGGCGGCAAATCAGTAAATGCTAACAACTCAACCAATGTACTGTCATGGGAGCCAAGAAGACAGAAAACAGTATTATCTAAACACATCTGTTTGGAAAGGGGTAAAGGAGAAAGAAAGGTTCCCATAGAGATTAGAAGCACAGACCCAATTTTCAAAAGGCTCTTAGAATTAATCTAGTTCAAAGCTCCCTCCATTTTACAGATGAGGAATCTGATGCTCAGAAAAGGTAAGTAGGCTGGGCACGGTGGCTCATGCCTGTCATCCCAGCACTTTGGGAGGCCAAAGCAGGAGGATCATTTGAGTCCAGGAGTTTGAGACCAGCCTGGGCAATATGGTGAGACTCCATCTCTACAAAAAATAAAACACTTGCTGGTCAGGGTGGTGTGCACCTGTAGTCCAGCTACTCTGGAAGCTGAGGTGGGAGGATTGCTTGAGCCCAGGAGTTCCAGGCTGCAGGAGCTCTGATTCACTACTGCGCTCTAGCCTGGGTGACAGAGCAAGACTCTGTCTCTAAGAAAAAAAAAATTAAGTACTTGACAGATAACATTCACTCACCAGTAGGTAGCTGAGCCAGAAGAACTTAGGTGCTGTGTAATCAAGTACGCAGACCTAATTGTTCATTTTTAAAGTTTTCATAGACATCTTTTAGAAAAGATTTCTAGAGGTCAAAAAAAAAGTACAGAACTAGAGTTTTTAAGAATAATGTAAAACTTCAAAGTACTATTGGCTTAGCAAATTGAGTACACTATTGGATAGCACTAGGCCAGCTGAAGTAAGGACTAAATTGCCTTTTTTTGTTCGAACTCCATGTGTATGAGTAAACATACATGTGTGTATTAAGTTGTTTATTCAAAAAAAATTTATTGAGAGTTTACTATGTATCAGAAATTGTATTAGGCCCTTGGGACTCACATACACATAACCCAGATTCTTCTCTTAAAGGGTTCAGAGCAACATAAAGCATGAGATGTATGATAATGCAGACTCATGGTTCTTGAACTTTTAATCTTGAGTCTCCTATTCAGAATTATTGAGATCCCCAGAAAGTTTTTGCTTCTTTGAGCTTTATCAATATTCATTTTAACAATTTAAAAATATGTATTAACTAAAAATAATAATATATATTAACATAAATATATGAACATTTTCAAAAACAGTGAAAAGAATGGCATTATTTTAGCTGTATTCAAATCTTATGAATGTCTGGCTTAATAGAAAATGGCTGGATTTCTATTTCTACTTCTGCATTTAATCTATTACAATATCACGTGTTATGGAGCTTCTGGAAAACTCTGCTATACACAGAATGAAAGTGAAAAAGGTAAATAACATTTAGTGTTGATATGAAAATAGCTTTGACCTTGTGGACTCCCTGAAAGGGTCTTGAGAGCCCCTACAGGTGCCGAGACCATACTGTGAGAACCTCTTGCTGTAGATCATCCCAAGTGCTCAGGAGCCATTGAAAAGACATGTAACTCACTCTTTGGGCATCAAGGGGGACTTCCTGGAGGAAATCACAGGAAATTGAGCCCTGACAGATAAGTGTAAGTGATTCAGAAAAAGAATAGAGGGGACTAAGAGGAGCAGAGAATGGCATTCCTAAAATGAAGCCCAAGAGAGAACAGCTTATTCTGAGAACTCTCAAGTAGCTGATCCTGGCTAACTAACACTCAAAAGACAAATACGAAACACTTAGAAATGAGGTTGCAGAGTCTGGCCAGGAGCTAGGCCACAGACAACATGCTCTGTAGTTTGTACTTTATCCTGAAGACAATGGAATGGTCATTAAAGTTTTGATGCAGAGTGTGAGAGAATCTGATTGGCTTCTTAGAAGACTCACTCTGGCTGCAGTGTGGAAAATGATTGCCAGTTGAAAGGCTGAGAGCAGAGAAGCCAGTTAAAAGGCTGCTATAGCACTCTGAAGAAGTTGATAAGGCTAAACTAAAGCAGCTCAGTGGACATGGGCAGAACCTGCTAGGTTATAGAGAGTACTCAAAGGTAGAATGGACAGGACTAATTGGATTTGATGGATGATGAGAAAGATGTTAGAATCTGGGATGACTGCCAACTTTCTATTTTGGTTGGAGGTACCATTCCCTGAAAGAGGAAATACAAAATTCAGAAGGAGAATTTTTTCCAGTTTTTCTTGAAGCATTACAAAAATAGTTTTGCAGGAAGATCATGAATATGATATTATGTATCATAAATTTGGTTTCTCAACTTAATCAGTTGAAGCATTTAATAAGACAGCTAGTTGTATAAGCCTGGAACTCTACAGCAAGATCTAGTAAGAGAAAGCAACATACAGGGTGTACTAAAGACCATGGGCACAGATGAGATAGCCTAGGAACAGTACGTAAAGGGAAGATCCACCTGTGTCATCTACATTATGAGGCCCAAGAATGCAATGCACTCAACTTTGTTCACTCTGTCCGTCATTCTGTTGTCTATCTCAATGATTCTGACACTGGCTGTGCCTCAAAATCAACTGTGAAACTCTTTAAACATAAACAGAATTCAGAGAAAAGGGATTTCCTCAAAGTCTCTCAAGGATAGAAAGATAAAGAGCCAACAGCTGCAGAGCACTGGAAACATTTAGTGTTGATCTTGGGAAAGAAAGTATTTGCTGCCACTTTGTGACAAGCTTGCAAGATCTGGTAATAACCAGGAGACAGGATGTTCTAACAGGAAGTACTGTGGCTTGGGAGAGACAGATTCTACTTGTAAAATGAGGGCATTGAGCTGAATGATTTTTCATGCCTTCTGACTGTTAACATCTGAGGTTCTTGCATATAGAGCTTCCTTCAAAGCCTGAGACATTCAGACAACTTGCCCCTCTTCCAATTAGGGAACTGATCTTTGGAGTCTTCCACATACCCTCCCAATGCCTTCTACTCCATTCACTATATCTATCCTTCAAGATCAAGCTCAAATGCTCCTCTCCCAACAAATCATCCCAATCTATTGCTGCCTTTCCAATACACTTTCTCAATCTTCGTATATTTAGCAATCAGGGGTTTGAGGGACAGTTCAAAACCTATTACAGGCCCTTCCTTTTTCATCCCTTAATATACTGTAATGAATCTACCTCTAGGTAAAGAGTTCTGTAAGAATTATTATTTATAAGCATATAATTATAAATATGTATTATAAATACAGTCGGCCCTCCATATCTGTGGGTTCTACATCCGTAAATTCAACAAAGCTTGGATTGAAAATATTTTCTTTAAAATGGATGGTGACATCTGTACTAAACATGTATAGACTTTTTCTTCTTGTCATTATTCTCTAAACAATACAGTATAACAACTATCTACATAGCATTTACATTATATTAGATATTACAAGTAACCTAGTGATAATTTAAAGCATACACAAGGTGTGTAGGTTATATGCAAATACTATACAATTTACATAAGGGACTTGAGCATCATTGATTTTGATATCCACAGGGGGTCTTGGAACGAATCCCCCACGGATACTGAGGAACGACTGTATGTATAAATACCAATTATAAATAAATAAGTATATATTATTCATAAGGTTGTTGTGTGACAAAATTATAAATTAGAATGTTGTTTGTATTTGTCTGAACACACATGCATAGCATAAATTTCCCTATATAAACTTCCTAAGATGTCAAAGAAGTACATTAACTAAAATTATTGGGCCACTTAGAGGAGAATTATCTCTAATACAATTCAAGAATCATCTGACAAGGCAGGAAGACAAGGCAGAGTCTTACAGAGAAGAGGGTGCAGGAACCTGGGGTGGCCATCACAGGTCCCACGAAGGGCGAAGAGCACCCTTAACCACTGTGGGTGAGAGTTGTATGGGAGGCTGAAGCTCCATGATAACCAAGGTGGCTGAAGGTGGAAGGAAAAAACAAGGTGGTGGCATTTGATGTCAAAAGACCAGTCATCTCTATACAAGGAGCTGCTAAGACCTGACCCTTCCCCCCCCACAGTACTAATAATGAGAACAACAATAACAACCACAAGAGCTAACATTTATTGAGTGTTTACTACATGCCAGGTACTATTCTGAGCTCTTTACACATTTTAAGACATTTAATCATGACTCTCTGTGGCAGATATGATTTTTAATTCTCCTTTGCAGGAGGAAACTGGAGCACGGAGAGGTCAAGTCACCTGCTTACAATAGCACAGGTATTGTAACACAGGTGATAAGCTGAGACATGGTTTACACAATATGGCTCCAGAGCCCACATTCATAGTCACCATGCTTCACAACCATCCAGCACCAAAGAATGCCCTCACCCATTAATATGCATTCCCCCAGAAATCTCTTACTATGAATGTATCTTTTCCTTTACTGTGGAGTTCCATCTACTAATTTTCTGAATATTCATCCTTTTGGTACCATGAGCAAGGTGGTTTTGGAAGTTCTTCCCAGCCATGTTTCCCTTGTATAAAAGTGTGTCTAGAAAGTGAAATGGGCACAGATATAATTCTTCATGGACCCTACATCCTATTAAGAAGACTCTGGTCAACAGTCTTCTTAACAGGAATAAATACAATGGCATGCACCAAACAATATAAAACTTTAGATGTAATAAGGATAGGATAAGGAAAATAGCTTTAATGAAACTTTGTGAGGTGAATGTGATTACTACACTACAGAATCCAGCCTGAAACTTTATTTATTTATCTATCTACCTATCTATTTATTTATTTATATGGAGTCTCGCTCTGTCACCTGGGCTGGAGTGCAGTGGTGCAATCTCGGCTCACTGCAAACTCCGCCTCCCAGGTTCAAGCAATTCTCCTGCCTCTGCCTCCTGAGTAGCTTGGACTACAGGCACCTGTCACCACACGCAGCTAATTTTTATATGTTTAGTAGAGACAGGGTTTCACCATGTTGGCCAGGCTGGTCTTGAACTCCTGACCTCAAGTGATCCACATGCCTCAGCTTCCCAAAGTGCTGAGATTACAGGTGTGAGCCACTGGGCCTGGCCTGAAACTTTACTTTAAAAGACTACCGATAGTCTTCTCTATGCTATAGAAAATAAATCAAAAGCAAAAGTATTTCTGTTAGCTCAACTTGTCAGTTTTATTTTGGGGCTCAGGTAGGAAGAAAAAAGAGTATTAGATCTCCAATTATGACTCCCTCCCCACCCACACACACATACGCCTTTCTCAAGCAAGTAGTACTAGTCTCTAGACAAATCCAAAAATATGAGTATCATCTATAAATGACACCTTTCCAGTTTTTCTTAAAGCATTAAAAAAAGAAAATACAACTTCCTTTATTCCTAGACAAAACATGAAGGTAAATAGTAAAGCCACTGGGCTTCCTAAAAAGCAATGCACTGAGCCTCATCAACCTGAGAATGGAAAGCGTATGAAGCAGATATTACAGGCAGCACCTTTCCTGGATAAAGTTGCTTAATCACCATGCAAAATTCAAGCCTATCATTCTTAGATAGAAAATTCTATAACCTCAGACAGGGCCTGACATCATGAGTGACCTTGAAACAGAACCCACACTCTTGAAATGATTTCCCCCCATATTGTCTGAACAGAGCACAAGCCTCAGTGCTGATGGGTAATTTTAAGGCATCACAATGACAAGTCTGCCAAGGCAAATGTTTTTAACTGCTTCACTTAGCTGACCTTATTTGCCATAAATTCAGGCTAATCCATATCTAATTCTTACTGGGTAACTCACTTGTTTACTGTCACCACTGGCCCTGGTCTCTTGGCATCTTATAAACTCTAGCCAGGCCCCAAATTCCTCAAGGATGTCTGGCTCTTGTCATATTACAGTGCTAGGAATGCAGCATGAATGGCTCATTCCTCCAGGCTCGTTAATGTCACAGCCTCACATTCACTTACCATTAGGATCTTCTAAGGGAAACTTGAGTTCACCCAAAGTTCCAAGGAACACAAAGTCAGCCATGTTGAAGTGATATACGCCAAGGAATATTGTACAAAGAAATGAGTGCTTCTCTTAGTTATTCCTCACAGTTAGTCTCTCATAAAATTTCAGAACAGAAAAGTATTTATAGGTCATTCAATTCTATTCCTTTATTAATATTTATTTTTTAAAACTGAGGCTTGCGAGGTTACATTTCCAAGGTCACGATGCTACTTAGGGGCAGAATTAAGGTTCTTACCCTAGTTATTTCTAATATATATGGTGCTAATTCCCTAGATTCATAGGAAAAGTCACAATAATAATAAAACTAATATTTATGTAGCCTTTAGATTTACAATGACCCCTTTGCTCTTTGTAGTTTCATACAATAATCTGAGCAAAGGCATGACAAACATAATTAACATCTCATTTTGAAGACTAGAAGACTTATACAGTAAGCTTTAAGTGACTTATTCAAGTTTTCATAATTAAAATGAGGGATTGTGAACTGAGCCCAATGTTTAAGTTCTATATCCTTGAGTAAATTACTAACTTCTGTCTCTTCTAATTTATAAAATGAAAATATAATGTAACAGTGTCTGCATCAAGGAAGAATTTTTTTCTTGAGAATTAAATGAAGTGATGTACTAAGTGAATAAACCCCTTAGCATTCTGCCCGACAGTTTGCAAGGGGACAAGAAATAACAAAGTTTTGTTTTGTATTTAAATTGTTATTTTTCTGAAACATCCTACCAGCAACACAAAATTATGACTTCGGGATTAAAGATAAAGAATAATTCACTAAAGTTCCAAGAATCATTTTAGTTGAATTTAAAAATGCAACGCTAAAAAAATAAATAAATAATAAAAACGCAATGTTGAGTTTATCCATCTTTTGAGTTTCATCACGATAGTAATATTTGCCATCAAATGCAGTTAGGCACTGTTATCATCTTAATACAAGATATTATTGCATCATAACCTTTCCATACGAAGAAAATTACAAAGAACTATTTTCACCTTGATGTTTAAAGCTGCAAACAAAAGGGCAGATCATCTTCCGTATATATTGCAGAGGCCAACAGCCATATGCAGTGACTGGATACAGCCTCACGGTGGTGCTAAATCATCACTGATAACAACTCAAGACCCATTGAAAGCTCTACAGAAACCAAACTGAGGCAGGACTGAAACATTCCTAATGTTAAACAGCAAGGAATTTGCTTTGGATCCCTACGGTTCTTCTGGACCAACCTTGCGCAATGATCCTGACATGTCTCAACAAATCCATTAGCAATGTTAATATACAGTTTTTGTCCTGGCATTGCAACAAATAAAATATACACAAAAGATTTTTATTATCCTTAAAAAGAATTGTGCAGCCTTACCTTTTAAAATGTTATGTTGACTTAGAATTCCCAAACTGGATTTGGGCCCCATTCATCTACTGTGTATCTTAAGTTTATGTATGCCTTGGAGACATTTGTTAAATTCCTTATATCTCCCAGCCCCCAAATTTCAGCTTGAAATTTCAACTCTTTTTGACTCCTTTCCTCTTCTACTCTCCTATTTAAAACAGCCACAAAATTTTATCAATTTGCCCTTTATAATATCTCCCACCTATCTATTTCTTTCTTCAGTCAGCTTCCAGACCCACAGTTCAGACCCTTTTACCACATGTCTAGGCTATTTCAATAACCCTTAAGATTAGGCTTAGAGGAGATTGCACCACTGCCCTCCAGCCTGGCAACAGAGCAAGACTCTGCCTTAAAAAAAAAAAAAAAAAAAAAGATTAGGCTTAGAGGACTACCTCCCAACCGCAACTGTACATTACAATTGCTTGAAGAACTTAAAAAATACCCAACCCCAGGGATTCTGATTTAATTGGTCTGGGGTGGATAAAGAGGTTTTTTTATTTTTTTAAAGCTTCCCAGTGATTGTAATTTGCAGTCACAGTTGAAAATTACTGCTAGAGGTGTGCCCAGCATACCACAGTCAGATTAACCTTCTTAAACTACCAACTCTCTGGGCCAAACATTTTAAGTAGTTTCCCATCTTCGCAAAGATTGCGAATTAGTGACTTAAAGTCCAAACTATCCCAAAGATGTGTTTTTATTTGACCTATTTAAAAATTGTTCAGATCCAACATCTAAAAATTGGGAGATGTCACATAAAACCCAGATTTCTTCCTTCTTTTTAAAAATTCCAAAATCTTGGCACAAATGGCCCACATTCCCATGCAACTATCAGCTGGAGCTGAGTAGTGGCTGCCCTTAAGACATGTCACATATCTTCCAGGTGATTCAGTCCCATCACTCCCCATTTACAGCTGGCTTTATGATTCATTTATACTATCTTCCTGGCCTCTTAATTTTAGTTTGTAGCCCTGATCTAGAGAATAAAGTTCAAACTCAATGATACGTTCACTTACTCATTCCCTTAACTACTCATTTATTCATGCATTCAATAGTATTGATTTTGTGTCTATGCTATGCAAACACTTGGAATTCAAAGTCCCTCATATCTTGGCCCTATTCTTTCTAACTTCACATTCACCTTCCTCTAACAAAGTTATTTCTAACTAGTAGTTAGTTTACGAGACACCTTCCTCCCAATATTCATAGCTTAGAGGCTAATTTCCAAAACGCCTTTGAGGTCAGGTAATGCTATGTGACAAAGTGGGCCAGTGGGATGCGAGCAAAAGTGGCATGTGTAACTTCTAAGTCGTATCCATAAGAAGAAAGGTGGCTGCCCTCCATTTTCCCCTTCTTGTGAGCTGGAATGCAGACATGGTATTGGTGGTGAGCCATAGAAGAGCAAGAGGGAGAAGCAACCTGGACCTCAGGACGACCTCTATCTTCCCTCGACTGTCTGCCTCTAGGTAAAAGAGAAAGAGACTTCTATCTTATTGTATTTTGGGGTCTCTTTGTTTATAGTGGCTTAGCCTATACTCCAAAACACCAACGATTTCTCTTAACTATCACCCAAACATACCTTGAATATTCTTGCCCTCCACCCTGGCATATGCACAAGTTCCTGTCACTAACATTATGCCTCCTCATCTCTGCTATATAAATTCTACTCATCATTCAAGGCCCAGATCAAGTATTCCCTCTCCTGTGATGCTTCATCAAGCTACATTTGTATTATCTTCTTTTTTCTGTTCTCCCACTGCATGAATTTTCCCTTGGCACTTACCAAATATTGTCTTATGTAACAGACACAGAGCCTTGAATTATGTTGCCATATCTACCTCAAGTACTACATCCAGGACCTAAAACAAAATTTTAGATTGTGCATCATAAAAATTAAAAAGTATTCAGAGTTTCTACAGTATTAAACTTCTATACTTTTTGTTTAATAATTATGTGCACTGTCAACTCATGTTCAATCTGTGATCCTTTAGGATTCTTGAATCTTCTCATTTTAATTACAAAACTGAACCTACCCAATTCTTTAAGAATCTGGCTTTTTCCTTGGTATTTAACTAAATCCTAGTTTTCTTTATTCTTGTATCTAAACAATTCCTTGACTTTTTGGATACATATTTCAAAGATTCAGAAATGCACTGAAAAGATCAAGGGCTCCAGTTTGAATGGTAATGAAGAGACAACTCATAGTGTCATCATATTTGGAATCTGAAAGTCTCTAGGACAACACTAGAGGAAGAAAGTAGAAGATACTCTCAAGGAAGGAAAGTTAAAAAAAAATGGGTGACAGAGAGTGAAAACTAGATCCAGAAGAAAAGTAAAGAAAAGCAATGGGAAAGAAGATAAAAGGAAGAGAGAATACAGAGACAAGAGGAGGACTAGCAACTGTGAATGAAAAAGTTAGCATAAGGGAAAGGCACATGCAAAATGGAATGCCAGTGAAGAAAAGTGGAATTCCATAGCCTCAAGACGCTTCCTGATAAGGATACTCATAAGAGATCATTATCAACATCCAAGTAGTGTAGAGCACACTACCACTCCATCAACACTAGGAACACTGGTGCATGGTGGGTATAAAAGAAACATCAAAGGCAAGTAAGAATTGAATTTATAGCAGAATCGTGATTGCAAGTTACTCTGTGGGTGAATAAAAAAGGATACAGCTGTGTTTCAAATGGGACTTATTTGAATCTCAAATCCAGTAAATAATGGCTAGACAGGACTTTTTTTAAAAGAGTAGGCTATAATGGGCCATGCGGCGGCTCCTGTCCATAATCCCAGCACTTTAGGAGGCCAAGATGGAGGATGGCTTGAGCCAAGGAGTTCGACACCAGCCTGGGCACATGGTGAAATGTTGTCTCTACAAAAAATACTAAAATTAATATGAAAATTATCCAGGCATGATGGTGTGTACCTGTAGTCCCAGCTACTGGGTAGGCTGAGGTGGGAAGATCAACTAAGCTCCAGGAGGTGGAGACTTGACGTGAGCTATCATCACGCCACCACATTCCAGCCTGGATGACAGAGTGAGACCCTGTCTCAAAAAACAAAAACAAACCAACAAGAACAAAAAAAGGGCTCTCAAAAGTATTTTTTTTTTCCAAGACAAATTCCAGAAGATGACTTGGTCTTAGCCTTGTAGCTGTGTCTTATCCTAAAAGAAAGCCAAGAGTGAGACCCTTAAAATATGGGTGGGAACTACATTGAAATTTAAAAAAAAAAGAGAGAGAGAGAACTCAAAGACCTAAACATAAGACCCAAAATGATAAACCTCCTGGAAGAAAACACTGAGGAAAAACTTCATGATGTTGGGCTTGGCAGTGAATTCTCGGTTATGGCACCAAAACCACAGGCAACAAAAGCAAAGATAGATAAATGAAACTACATCAAACTTAAAAACTTGATGCATCAAAGGACACCACCAACAGAGTAAATAGGCTACAGAATGGGAGAAAATAATTTGCAAATCATACATATAATAAGGTGTTAATAGTCAGAATGGGCTAGGTGCGGGGGCTTATGCCTGCAATCCCAGCACTTTGGGAGGTTGAGGCAGGTGGATTGCTTGAGCCCAGGAGTTTGAGACCAGCCTGGGCAACAGAGTAAAACCCTGCCTCTACAAAAAATGCAAAAATTAGCCAGGTGTGGTGGCGCATGCCTGTAGTCCCAGCTACTCAGGAGACTGAGGCAGGTGGATCGATTGAGCCTGGGAGGTCAAGGCCACAGTGAGCTGTGATCATGCCACTGCACTCCAGGCTAGGTGACAGAGCAAGACCCTGTCTCAATTAAAAAAACAAAAAAAGAATATATAACGAACTCCTACAACTGAACAACAAAACTCAAATAACGCTATTAAAATATGGGTAATGGATGTGACATTTCTCCAAAGATGATATACAAATAGCCAACAAGTATATGGAAAGATGCTGAACATCATTATTCATCAGAGAAGTGGAAATCAAAACCACAATGATCTATCACCTTACACCCACTACAATGGCTACTATTTTTGTTTAAAAAAACCTAGAAAGTAACAAGTATTGGCAAGGATGTGGGGAAACTGGAACTCTGTACTCTGTTGGTGGGATTGTAAAATGGTGTAACTACTTTGAAAAATAGCATGGAGATTCCTCAAAAAATATACATGATCCTCAAAAAAAAAAAACATCCAGCAATCCAATTTTTGGGTATATACCCAAAAGAACTGAAAGCAGGGTCTTGAAGAGATAATTGTACACCCATGTTCACAGCAGCATTATTCACAATAGCCAAAGGTGGAAGCAACCCAGATTGTCCACTGGCAGATGAATGGATAAACAAAATGTTGAATAAACACATAATAGAATATTATTCAGCCCTAAAAAGGAAAGAAATCCTGTCACATGCTACAACATGGATGAACCTTAAGGACATGCTAAGTCAAACAAGCCAGTCACAAAAAGAAAAATACTATATGATTCCACTTAGAGGAGATACTTAGAACAGTCAAAATTATGGAGATAGAAAGTAGAATGTTGGTTACCCGAGGACAGCAGGGAGAGGGAAAGGGGAGTTGTTATTTAATGGGTATAGAGTTTCAGGTTTGCAAGATGAAAACGTTCTGGAGATCTGTTTTACAACCATGCAAATATTCTTAAACTGTGCACTTAAAAAATGGTTAAGATAGCACATTTTGTTATATCATATTTTTACCACAATAAAGAAAACTCAGAAGGACATGATACTTCTTAATGGCTGCTATCATCAGTATGAATGCTAGGATGCGTTCCTCTGGACCCATTCTACCTCTTGGAAAAGAAATGTAAAAATGAGTGCCAAGTTAATCTCGGGGGAAAAACTTCTCTACCTTCATTATACACAGGTACTAACCACCACTTCCCAGCTCCATCTCTAGCAAGTGCAATGGTAGCCACATTTGTGCTGCTACCACAAAACTGGGAGCATACTTGATTGCAATTTTACAGTCTAGTTACAAAGAGGAAGAACTCAGCTAAATATTTGCTGCCATGAGTCCAAGATAACTTATGTGCAAGGACATCCTTAGCTGGCACCGAAGAAGTTTGTTAAATTAGATTATAGATGTCTCTAGGACAAAATACAACAGCTAAGTCATTGAACTATAATCAAGATGCTCTAATTTGGCATATGAAGACATTTACATCTCTTGTGGACAAACAGGCTCAGCTATGTCATGCATCCATCGATTCTGTATCACTGAGTCCAACTTGACTAAGTCGTATCTTCCAGGACAAGTTTTGAGAATTTAATGGCAGCAGGAAGCCCAAAATGTGAGAGGCGGACCATGCGCTATATCCCAAAGGACAGATCTCCTGAAATGCTTCACTGAGATGGCATACCCTGTGCTGCTTTCTGTCAGCTCCCATAGGAATTATACAGCTGTTAACCCAGCATCAATAATTACCCACCTTATACAAGTGGCTACTTACCAACCAGTTCATCTCTCTTCAGGTCATGAGGAAGAAGTCACACTGTTCATTTACTAATCTAGTAGTGGTCTGTGGGCTTCATAAATCGATTTTATTTGCATATGTGATTATTGTCTAAATTCCCTGGCATTTGACTATATCTCATGGAGAAAACCAAGTTAGCTCTGGCATCCCAGCTGGAATACCAGCTCTCACACTTTGCAGCATTATGACCCTGAGCAAGTCATTTGCATTTAAGCCTGGAGTCCTCATCTGTAAAATGAGACCAATAACAGCTCTTCCATATGCTTGTTATATAAATTAAATGAAAGAATCTACTTCAGATCCTGGCACACAGTAGATGCTGATCAGAAATTATCTCCCTCTCTTCTTCCTTACTCAAGAGCAGGGGTCAGCAAATTTGTTCTGTAAAAGGCAAGAGAGTAAATCTTTAATCTTTTTAGGCCACATGGTCTCTGTCACAACTATTCAACTCTGTCACTGAAATACAAAAGCAGCCACAGACAAACACCATGGCTGAGTTCCAATAAAATAATATTTTAAAAAGCAGGTATTGGGCCACATTTGGCTCACAGGCCATAATTTGCCAATCCCTATTACTTATACCACATATGTCCAGGTATCATGCTAAGTTAATTTTTCACCATTCTGTTTGATTTCATCTGTTCCAGATATATTCTTCCCTTTTATCTCCTTATTGCTTTTATTCTATTTCTTGAATGTATCGGAACAAATGTGTCTGTTTCCATTACTTGACTTCGCTTCTGGCTTTGAATTTTAGGCCTTGAGAAGTTCCCGTAGGTGTTGAGCACTCAGACCTAAGATGCTCTAGTAATTTATTCACACAATGGGTTCTGGGTAAATCAGCCAGAGTTAAGCAAAATCCCCTCAACCCTCAGAAAAAGATTGGGAACAGACCATCCCTTGGGAACTCAGAGTTTACTAGGAGTTTTTATTTGTGGAAAGGGAATGGTTACAACTGATTCCCCAGTTTTAAAAATATTGCCTTAAAATTTTTGTTTTCATTGGCTTATATATGTAAAGGCCTTCTTAAAAAATATGTAAGTACTAAAAACAATAGTGATCACATATGGTGAAGTGAGAATTCAAGATGGAGTGATAAGGATGAGAGGGGGATTTACTGAGTATTTTTAAATGTCTATGATTTAAAACCATGTGAATATATTATCCAAAAATCAATTTTCCCAAAGAATAAAGAAATCTTGGCCAGGCGCGGTGGCTCACGCCTGTAATCACAGCACTTCGGGAGGCCAAGGCAAGTGGATCACAAGGTCAGAAGTTCGAGACCAGTCTGGCCAACGTGATGAAACCCCGTTTCTACTAAAAAAAATACAAAAATTAGCTGGGCATGGTGGTGGGTGCCTGTAATCCCAGCTACTGGGGAGGCTGAGGCAGGAGAATGGCTTGAACCCAGGAGACCCAGGAGGCGGAGGTGCAGTGAGCTGAGACCGTGCCACTGCACTCCAGCCTGGGTGACAGAGCAAGACTCCATCTCAAAAAAAAAAAAAGAAAAGAAAAAAGAAAAGAAAAAGAAAAAAAGAATCTTTTGTTTTACAAAATTAGTCTATTATAAGAAAGATACAAATGTGAGGGGTGGGGACTGACAGGAACCTACTGGAGATTCTATCACAGCCCCACACTCTCTTGCAGTTACTGGGCTTCTATGTGCCTCCTGCCTTCTGCTCTGTGTGACTCAGAGAAGACAGAGTGGAGGACTCTGCCATGATGAGTTAATGGACTCCACTTTCCATTTGACAGAAGTGGAATTAGAAGCAGGATATATTTTTCAGTATTTTATCATTCTTGATACCAGGCCATAATTCTCCCTATGAGTTCCACATACCCTCCCTTCTTTCTCAGTGTGTCCACATTTACATAGTCTTTCTAGCTACTTCAATCTCTCTTGCCACTTCTGCCTTCAAATAAGCTTCAATTTTTTAAAAAAGACTTTTGACTTTACTTTCAACTACTGCCCTTTGCCTCATATTGTGTTTTCAATACAATTCCAGGAAATATTAGGAATGATTGTTTTTTACTTCTTAATCACCTATATCTACTTTCACTCCTTCATTAAGTCTGTTTTTTTCCTAAGGTCTTCATTAATTATTTCAAACAAATCTAAAGGTTGTTGGGTTTTTTCCCCTTAGTCTTTATTATTCTTGATCTATCTTTTGCAAAGAACAAAGCTAATGTCCATTTTATTTAGTATCTCTTTCTCTCTCTCCATGTATTTAATACCCAAGAATTCTTTCTGTCCCTTCTGATCCCCACAACTGGATCTCTTCCTTGTTCCTGTCTCATAACTGAGCTACAACTTGAATCTCAGACATCAGTCCCTCTGCTTTTCTCCATCTAGTCTCCTTCTTTTAGGGAATTCATCTATTCCCAAGTCTTTATCTTGTGGGAGGAATAAAACAGATGGTGGCCTGAAGCCTGGCTCTGTAACTTATTAGCTGTGCTGCATAGGAAAAATTGTTCGTTCATCTTTCTAAACTCAGTTTCCTCTGTTCTAAAATGGGGATTCAGTCATTCAGTAGTCTTTATCGAGCAATTACTGTACACCAGGCATTGTTCTAGGTACATGAGATTCATTAACAAACTAAACAGATAAATATTCCTGCCCTCACAGAGTTCCCATTCTAACAGAGGGAGACAGACCAAAAATAATAAATATACTACATTAGAAAATTATATAAAATTACAGAATGTAGGCCGGGCGTGGTGGCTCACGCCTATAATCCCAGCACTTTGGGAGGCCGAGGCCGGCGGATCACAAGGTCAGGAGATAGAGACCATCCTGGCTCTCACGGTGAAACCCCATCTCTACTAAAAAAAAAAAATACAAAAAATTAGCCGGGTGTGGTGGCAGGCACCTGTAGTCCCAGCTACCTCAGAAGGCAGAGGCAGGAGAATGGCGTGAACCTGGGAGGCGGAGCTTGCAGTGAGCCGAGATCGTGCCACTGCACTCCAGCCTGGGCGACAGAGCAAGACTCCATCTCAACAAACAAACAAACAAACAAACAAACAAACAAAAATTACAGAATGTGGTGAGATCTGTAAAAGAAAGAAAAGGTCAGATTACACCTTTTTTTTTTTTTTTTTTTGAGACCAAGTCTTGCTCCGTTGCCCAGGCTGGAGTGCCATGGCACGCTCCCAAGCTCACTGAACCTCCACCTCCCGGGTTCAAGCAATTCTCCTGCCTCAGCCTCCCAAATAGCTGGGATTACAGGTGCACACCATCACACCTGGCTAATTTTTGTTTATTTAGTAGAGATGGGGTTTCACCATGTTGGCCAGGCTGGTCTCAAACTCCTGACCTCAAGTGATCTGCCCACCTCAGCCTCCCAAAGTGCTGGGATTACAGGCATGAGCCACGGCGCCCAGCTGGGTTACATCTTTTAAAAGATGGTCAGAGTAGTCCTCTCTGAGAAGATAATATTTTAGCTGAGACTTGGAACAGGTGAAGGAATTATAAATGAGGGCATCTGCTGGAGAGGATGTAGACAAAAGCAGCTGACAATGATCCTAAAGGCAAGAAGCATGCCAAGTATGTTCTAGGAAAGGGAGTGTAGTGAGCATGGGGAAAAGTCATTGGAAAGGATGTCAGAGAGGAAATCAGGGAACAGTCCATGTAGGACCTCTGAATACAATGGCAACCCTCTATTGTGGAGTTTGGAGCAGAGGGATGACATAATCTGATTTATCTTTTAAAAGGATCACTCTGGCTACTCTATTGGAAATAGACTGTAGTGAGAGAAGAATAGAAGCAGAGAGACCAGTTAGGAGGCTACTGCAGTAATCCAGGAAGGAGGTGATGGGGGCTAGAACCAGAATGGAACAGGAGAGAAGTGGTTAGTGGTTAATTTAGGATTAAAAACCTACCTTAGAGGGTTGTTATAAGAATTTTATGGGAGAGTTATTATAGGTAAAATGCCTAGCAGATGCCTTCTATAAAGAAGATATTAAGTAATATCCTCTGTCATTATATTTTCCAGGCAGAATGGGTTCTCTGGGTCACTATAAGGAGGAGACCAAAGCTAGAGTGTGATAGCCAAGGCCAGTTGACCTGGAGGTTGGCAGCTGCCCTCATCTGGTGTAGTAAGGGAGAGCATGCGGGAGAGCGCTGCATATCATAAAGTCATATACAAATTATATGTAGCCAAGCGTGGCCATTTATATGTCATCAAACAAGAAACCATTAACAATTATCCACCATTAACAATCAAACCATTAACAATTTCCAGCTGGCCTGAGGAAGGAACTTGATCTTCTTTTAGCCTCTTCCCTCATATCCCAACTCCAGTATGGGATTTTTCAACTGCCTATAAACCATTTCTTCTTAAAAGTTTCATCATATGCTATCTATGCACGGTTTTTAAAAAATTACCTGCACCACCTCTACTTCAAACCAGCTACTCATCCAAATGTTTCCTTCTATTAAAGACACACCAGTCTCCAGATGCTGAAAACCTAGCTGCATTTTTGTAGAACTGTGGAATCAAATTGGAAGTTGGTATCATAGTCATCATCGGGTTAAAACATCTCTTTACAAAAGATGAAACAAGGCTCAGAATGGAATATGCCAAGCTGTGGGCCACACCAGGCTTTAATCACTGAATGGCTCCTGAATTCTTTCTAGCAAGGTCTAGAACCAGTTTTCTGGACTCATTCACTTTTTCAACACTCCCCTCCCTTCCTCTTGCCTGATCCACATCACAGCAGTTCCTCAGGTTGGCTGCCACAGGCCAACACCTCTGCCCTGGTCACCGCCATGTCTGCCAGGACCATCTTTCTGTTATTGCCAATTAACCCTTCTGGAAAGACTACTAGAGACCAGGGCCTACACTGCTTTAAGAATGCTGGTTATGGGTTCAAATCCTGGCTTTGTACTTACTAGCTGTGAGGACTTGAGCAAGTTTCCTAATCACATACTGCCTTAGTTTCTTCATCTGAAAAAATCCTCCCTTCCGGGACTTAAGTAGGGTAAGCCACGTAAAATACTTAGTACAGAGCCAAACACAAAATAAAAGCTTAAGAAGTATTAGTTATTACTGTCAGTCCCTTTCAGAGAAGTTGCTGTGGGTGCCTGGTGAACAAATTCTAATTGCCTTGGCGTGGCCTTCATGGCCTTTCCATACCTACTTTAGGTATGGAAACTTTCACTGATCTCTGATGACAAACCTTCCAACCAGGACAGCTCTCTTTGTACCCCATATCCATGCTCATTCTCATTTCTACCTCTGTGTTTTAGTTTATGCTCCTCCTACCTGAAACGCCACCTTCCTTTTCCTTTATCTGTCTGAATCCTGTACATCCTTCAAAGCTCCACTTAAGGTTTAGTACTTCACAAGAACTGCCCAGTCAAATTCTAGCTCCACTGATATTATTACTACTCTACAATACCACAGTTTTTATATTCGGTACTTATTGATCACTTCCTCATGGACAGGAATGAGGGCATTTAGTTAATAATATGGGCTCTGGAGCAGACTGCATGGTCTCTCTCAGCCTGTCTCCTCAGCCATAAAATAAGGTTAATATCAGGGTTGTTGTGAGGACTAGATACACGAATACTTGATATATGTTAATGATGATTAATATGTTATTACTGCTGTATATTTGATAACTTTTTCCTCTTTGTTTATAAACCTGCATTTTCTTCCTCCAGGTTATTCTATCCATATGCACTATACCTTTATCCAGTGTCTAGCACAATGCTGGTCTCAGAGTAGTATTCGACAACGAATGGATGTAAAAAAAACAAAAAACAGAACAAAAAAAAATTAGGAGGAGTGCCCATGGCAGTTACATCAATATTCTCTATCCAGTCTGAATGGGTCCTGAACTCTTTCTTCTCTCCTATCTTATAGTTTCCCGGCGAAGGAGAAACTACAACCCCTTTCAGGGAGGCAACATGATACTATAGAAGAAAACTGGACTAAGAATCAGAAGACGTGAGTTTGCGTCTCAGCTTCCTACACAAAAGGTCTGTCTGGTTTGTCTGTCTCTGTCTCTGCCTGTCTGTCTGTCAGTCTGTCTATCTGTGTCTGTCTGTTTGTCTCTATCTAGCTACCTACCATCTCTTTATATCTATCTATCTATCTATCTATCTATCTATCTATCTATCTATCTATCTATCTATCTATTTTAGCTTGAGAAAAATCACTTAAGCTCATGGAGGCTGTTTCCATCTCTGTAAAGCGAGAATAATCTGGCATGGCCTGCTTCCTTCACAGGACAGCTGTGAAGATCAAGTAAAAAAAAAAAATGTATGGGCCACGCACAGTGGCTCACGCCTGTAATCCCAGCACTTTGGGATGCCAAGGCAGGCGGATCACCTGAGGTCAGGAGTTCGAGACTAGCCTGGCCAACATGGCGAAACCCCGTCTCTACTAAAAATACAAAAATTAGCTGGGCATGGTTGTGGGGGCCTATAATCCCAGCTACACGAGAGGCTGAGGCAGGGTAATCTCTTGAACCTGGGAGGTGGAGGTTGAAGTGAGCTGAGATGGTGCCATTCCACTCCAGCCTGGGCAACAGGAGCAAAACTCTGCTCAGAGGAAAAAAAAAAAAAAAAAAAAAGCATGTGGGAGAGCGTTGCATACCATAAAGTCATACACAAATTATATGTAGACAAGCATGGCCATTGATATGTCATCAAACAAGAAACCATTAACAATTATCAAGTCAGCTGGATCTACTTCCAATGGCCTCCTGAGGAAACGGCCATTACCACAGTAATCATAGTGAATCTCTTTGCCCAGATGCCTCTTAAAAGATCAAATAATTACTTATACTATGGAGCTCAGTCCTGAGATTTTTTTTTTTTTTTGAGACAGGGTCTCACTCTGTTGCCCAGGTTGGAGTGCAGTGGCATGACCACAACTCACTGCAGCCTCAACCTCCTCAGCTCAAGCAATCCTCCTGCCTCAGCCTCCTGAGTAGCTGGGACCACAGGTGTGTGCCACCGCTCCTGGCTAATATAGAGATGGGGTCTCCCTACATTGCCCAAGCCGTCGGTCCTGAGATTTTTGATAAGTCTGTCCTCAAACATTACGTCATATCTAGTAATTTGTTCAAAAGTACAGATTTAGCCAAAATGTCAACTTCACATCCCAGAGTCCATGGGTGGTACATGTATAGGTAATATGGTTATTAGCCAGAGTTCTCAAAGAGGAGGAAGAGTAAAGAAAAAAAAGATCCCTAATAAATTAGAAATGTCTGGTCTATTTCTACAAGAAGTTAACATTGGAGATGTGGAATGTATTCTGGAGTCAGAAGAAATGAATAAAAACACTCTGGGGTAACTGGAATAGTCTATGCATATATTCCTGAGCTACTTGTGTGTGCACAGCTATCATTCTATTTAATTTTGTATTAGATCCAAGGGGTTCCAGCATTCATCAGTAGTCATGATAGATTTGAACAATTTCAACAAAGAATTCTATACCAGGCAGGAGCACATCAAGCTAATGCACTGACAAGGGCAATTCCTAGTGATTCATACTCTTTGTCACATGCATTGATCATTGTGCTTTTTCTTTTCTTTCTTTGGAGAATCAGATTTATCAAAAATAGCCATACATTTTATAATAGAGTGTAGGAGTGTGACCTTCTCCCAGCAATACTTCCAAAACTCAAGTGAGAAATCATTCATGTTAAGAAAACCACCTTACCTCTATTTTTTCCCATATGGCTTCATAGTTGTCTTGGTGCTGAATATCTTGCATCAGTTTCTGAATTAAAGCTGATTTAGTGGCAGAATGGCTCTCATTTTTCTCAGAGGATGAAGCTCTTTCTGACTTCTCATCAGCATACTTTTTCATGCCAGCGAGAGGCATACTGGACTCCTCATCAGAAAGAATGTCACTCAGGGGCCCAGATTCAATGCTCTCCCCTAGTGAAGAGGCTATGTCACTAGATGAGCTTGGAGACACCCTGCCTAGCCTTGTATGCTTCTTTTTGACATGATAGGTTGGATAGATTTCAGAATCTGAATTCATTTCAGACAGTTCCCAGTCATCAATATTCTGGATGGTTTCTCCTCTGGGTTTCTGAGGCAGAAGCTTTGTTAGGTTTTCCAACTTCAAAGCCAATACTTCTGTCTGCTTAAGGTGAGAGGGCAGTGCTAGGTATTCATCAGAGCCATACCAGGCCTCCACAACCTCACCATTCCTAGTGACGTGACTTGGAGAGGAGGCTTGACCTTTTTTGCTTTTGTGTTTTGAAAGAAGTGGCACCGGAGACATGATGTTGTCTGAGCCAACAGAGGATTCACTGCTCTGAGTAAAAGCTGGTGAACTGGATGTTTCTGACTGCAATTGCAATTTGGCATTCCAACTTCTCTGATTACAAGGCTCAAGTGAGGATGTGGAAGCAGAATTTGTTTGTGGCCCCTCTATGGCCTTGGAAGTATAAGAAAGCTCTCCATTTGGCACTGCTGAGCTCTTTGTATTTTTAGCTTGTTTGCCTGAACCAGTCCCCCGTTTAGGTGTTCGGCATGGAGGCACCTCTTCTGAGGTCTTGTGTGGCTTTTTAAGTCGAGATTTCTCTTTATAGCAGTCGTTAAGCCTTCCCAGGCTGGAAGAAATTTCTTTAATGTGAAATTTGACTGTGTTTTCAAGGTTCCCATTCCCCACCTTGTGTAAACACTCATAAGACTGGCTGGCAGCAGAAGGGCTGTTGGGGTAAGAAGACTGCAATACCAGGCAAAGTTTGGATCTGTCAGGAGGATCTACTAGCGAAGGGGTGCTTCTGCTCATCTCAGGCTTTAGATCAACCATTTGCCTCTTTCCACCATTGCCTTTCAGATCATTCTTAAAAGTTTCCTCTTTAAGAAAAAGTCCTCTTTTTGGCAATGTAGGCTGCGTGGGAGAGTCCTCGTTATAATTAAAGCAATCTCTGATGGTTCGTTTGGGGGTTGCATTTTCACAAGGAACAGGCTGCTGATTCTTTGCATCATGATGGGAGGAGGAACTGGATTCTTGCTGCACAGTCTCAGAGGAGGGTTGAGCAGCATTTGTCAGAGCTTCTCCTGAAGATGATGACACCCCCAGTGTTAAGCCTGGTTGCTCTTCGACTGCAGAAGCATTGTCTTCCTCACATCCACCTTTGTCGTCTACTGAGAGAGATACTTGAGATACCTCCTCAGTAACTGCTTCACTGCCATTGGTAGAGATAGAGTCAGCAGCTACCGTAAGTAAACCAACACTTCGGATAAGCTCAGGAAACTCCTTTTCCATCTCACTGTAGCTCCAAGAGTCAAAGGGTTTGGTTTTGACTTGGCTAGAGGTCATGTCACCTAGCCCACTGAGCAAATCCTCACTTGGACTGTAGTCAGACAGTTCGAATGCAGTAATGCCACAATCCAGAGACAAGTAATTTTGAGAACATTTGATGGTTAATTGTCCTGAGTCATCCACTTCTGTTAGAGAATCAAGCCGGCCCTGAAACAGACAATGGCAATGGTTTCAGTAAATGCAACATCAATTACAACATCAGCTGCTATGTAAATGAAATTGCAGTACAGGGCACTATAAAGGTCAAATGTATTGGTCCCTATTGCTTGTGGTTTGACATACACAAAGGGATATTAATCAATTACCACATTGCTTTATATAGTATCTTGTTCTTAAACACCTGAAGATTTTTCACTAATCTGGAGTATACAGCCTTAACAGAAATGTCAAGAGCAAGCCAAAAAAATCCATTCTTGACTTAATTTTCAACTTAAAAATAATATATTATTCATTTAATAAGAATTTCATAAACAAAGCCTTAAGTAATACAATTTCTGGGATCAAAATAATGTAAAAGTAAAATCTCCACGAATGTCTGTTTTGCTTTTTGCTATCATTCCAGTACCTACCACAGTGGCTAACTCATGGTAGATGCTCAATAAATATTTTTAAGTAGAATAATTAATTATAATAAGCCAGTTGTGTTAAACATATATTGATGAATCAAAGGAAGGTAAACTACTGAATTTGCAAATACATAATAGTTCAAGACCAGTTTCTGTTTGGCCCCACCCTTTTGAAGGAGAAAATTAATGAATGTCCAAACTTTATCATTAGAGATAGCATCAGCTCCTCCCTCTGCATGTTTTTCTCCCCAAGTCCTGCTCCCACTGGTGTTTGCGAGCTGTTAAGTGCCCATCTTTCTTACTATTCATAATTCTGGATAGGCTGATTTGATTTAAAACTCCCTCACACTAAAAAAACAGCATTACGATTAACTATTTTTAATTTGTTAAATCTTTAATTCTGTAATTAAGGCTTTTGTCCCATTACTAATGCAGTTTCTGATTTCATACAACAAATGGGAAGATTTTCACTGATGATTTGTTTGGGGTAGAAGAGCCCTGGGAACTATCCTATTTTGCCTACTGGCTAAATAACAGACTGATCTAACCTAGCCCCCTTAGGAAATGAAAAAAGAAAACTGAAAAGTGAAGGGTTGTTACATCCCCAGATCTCCTTTTTTTCTGGAGGAAGAACTGTGGTGAGCCAATTGAAGCTGGATTCCATGTGGCTGCTGGACCCTGTGATCCTTTCAACCAGGTTTTCCCAGATCTGGCTTCTCCAGGATCTTATATCTGGTTTTACTGCTCATTTGTTTGTTTTTGTTTTTGGAATGTTCTCTCCCTTCAGACCTTCACCCTGCCTTTATCTCCTACTCCACTCACTCTCATTCCATAACATCTAGATAAACAGACAAAAAGCCTTATTTAACTTTTCTAAGCCTCAGAGTCCTCATCTATAAATGATGATGGTTGATTACTACAATTACTTTTTCATTTAATCCTTAAAATTTTCTTCTGCCGTCTGTACTATTGTCCCTTTCTTACATAAGAGTAGCTTGGACCAAAAGATGACACCGGCCCTGGATAGAGGCTGTCCCCAAAGTCTGTATTCTGCCCATTAGATATTACTTTAAACTGGCATGCCCCCACCTCCAATTCGTTTTCCACACTGCCACCAGAATAACCTACACAAATTGCAAATCTGTTACTTCTTTGTTTAAAGTCCTTTAGAAGCATCCTGTTGTTGTTAAGTTAAAAATCCAAACTTTTCCTCAAAAAGGCTAAAAATTGAACTACCAATCCCACTAATAGGTATATATCCAAAGAAAAGGAAATCAGCATGTCAAAGAGATATCTGAACTCCCATGTTTATTACAGCACTATTCATGATAGCCAAGATATGGAATCAACCTCAGTGTCCATCAGCAGGTGAATGGATAAAGAAAATGTGGCATATATCCACAATGGAATACTATTTTGCCTTCAAAAAGAAGGAAATCCTGTCATTTGTGACAACATGTATGAGCTTGAAGGACATTATGTTAAGTGAAATAAGCAAGGCACAGAAAGACAAATACCACATGTTCTCACTCATATGTGGAAGCTAAAAAAGTTGAACTCAGAGAAGCCAAAAGCAGAATAGTAGTTACTAGAGGTTGGGAAAGGTAGCGGGTGGGAATAGCTAGAGGCTGGTTAATGGATACAAAATTACAGCTAGATAGGAGGAATAAGTTCTGGTTTCTATAGCAGGGTCAGATGACTGTAATTAAAAGCAATTTATTCTACATTTTCAAATAGCTAGAAGAGTGGATTTTGAATGTTCCCAACATGAAGACACAATAAATGTTTGAAGTGACAGGTATGTTAATTTCCCTGATTTGATCATTGCATTGTGTGCATGTATCAAAATATTACACTGTACCCTATAAATATGTGCAGTCATGTGTCAATTAAAAATAATAAAAACAAAAAATGACACACTTCAATGCAAAGATATATTGCTTTAATATTTGAAGATCTTCCAAGTATATGACTGAAGACAGAAATCAACGATGTCATAGATAAGTATTTTTAAAACACAACCAAAACCCTTTCAAGGCCAGGCCCAAAGAGGCCTTTCTTATGCTATTCTCCCCTCACTGGCCACACGCGGCCACAGTATCCTGCTTTCACTTTCTGAAAATACCATGTTCCCTCCTTCCTCAAGGCCTTGGCACATGCTGCTTGCCCTGCCTGGAAAGCTTCCAACCTATACCCCTTAACTAGTTGACTCTTCCTTATCACTCAGATTTCAGCTTAAGTTTCACTTTTTCAAGATTCCAGATCCACATGTAAGTCAGAATATTTTATTGTAAGCCCTGCTTTCTCTTTAAGCATTGATCTCAATTTATAAATAAATACTATTGTGATTATCTGATCAATTTGTTTTTCCCACTAGTTTGTAAGTACTATGACAGTATAAATCACACAGAAAATGGTTGTCTTACCAGGGTACTCGTAGCACATAGCATAGTGATCTGCACACAGAATGCACATATGTTGAATGAATGAATGAATGAATGACAACATTTTAGAATGTCTCTCTATGCCTTCCTATAATTTCTTTCTCTGATTACATAGTTTTAGTTAACTCCAATAATTAAAAGCCCAAGTTTCGAATTCTGGCTGTAGCACTAATTAGCTATGTGACCATGAGCCAGTAGCTTGATGTTGCTAAGCTTTATTTCCTTCATCTATAAAAAGGAAATGATAAGCCATGCCATAGGGGTGTTGAGAGGCTTAAAGGAGGTAATATATGTAAGATATGTAATATATGTAAGTCTAGTACATGGATGAGTGCTCAATGAATGTTCACTCTTATTACGTTATTATTTTTAATAATGAAGTATATTGAGGAGGAAAGTTTCAAGATGAGAGTTATTGCTAACACTAAATTATACTGCACAAAATAAGAAATCAATCTCAACAAAAATCACCTAAATGGAATTGTATAACTTTTGTGCTTCATAACTGAACTAGAAATCAGTCAGCCAAACAAAAGTTATACTTTATGCAATTTTTAAAAGAGTAATAGTGAGATTCCCAATTCAAAAGCAGGTTGTATTTTCTTTAATCTTTTCATTGTTCATTACTCAGAACTTATTCTTTTACAGAAATAGTATTATAAAACGATGGTTAAATTCCAAAACTATCTCATAAAACCTATTTAAATTAATATGTAGCTGAAATTTGCAACATGATTTTCTGTTACATTTATCATGGTTACTGCACCGCAGTGCTTATATGAGGTTATAGAAAAGTATTTATATGATAGATTTAAAAAAAAGAAATTTGAGAGTCCAGGTAAAAATTAGACTCCAAACTGAAGTGTCAGCCACCTGCCTTTGGACAAGCAGGGAACATGATAGTCTTGCAAATATATTTGGTCCCCATTCTGGTGGTTATTGCACCTTAAGACCAGGGTACTGTCTTGCTCGAGAATAACTGATGCTCAATCAGTGATGTTACATGAATATATTGAATATATATATATATATATATTAGATGAATATATTGTTTACTGAATACATCTCAGAGAATAAAGTATAGCTGCCTTTTCTTAAATCTCTAGCCAGTTCCTGGTTTAGAAAAGAAAACGCCATACTCAAAAACACTTAATGCTTCAGAGGAAGCTCTCTCCCATCCTGTCCCACCATATCAGTCCGGCCAACCATCTCAACTAGTGAGTAAATACCATCTTAACCAGTGAGACAGTTGAGTGATTATCACTTGTGGGGTAATAACTATTTTTTATTTTTATTTATTTTATTTCCATAGGTTATCGGGGAACAGGTGGTATTTGGTTACATGAATAAGTTCTTTAGTGGTGATGTGTGAGATTTTGGTGCACTCATCACCCAAGCAGTATAAACTGCACCCTATTTGTAGTCTTTTATCCCTCACGGGGTAACTATTTTTTATTCAAACTGTATTTTTTAATGCAAAAAAAAAATCCCTCCCTGAAAAAAAAAACAAAGCAAAACCAAAAACAGTATATAGTATTTCACTATGCAGAGGCAATTGTAAGAAAAGAAAGTTCTCTAAAGTTTCTCAGAGCAGATGAATGAGTTTTATCTCTGAAAATATTGCTTAGTAATACTAATGTTTTTAGTTCTGTTGCTTCCCTCCACATCATCTTCCCAGATAGTTTTCTAACGTGTATACATAATAAAGTCTCAGGAAGATATGGAGTTAGGGGTGTTGCCTGTTGGTTTTACTGCCCTTATTTCAGAAATATCACATGTAATTGTGTAGTACTTGTAGCTGGGTGAGAGCCGCCTAGCCATGTACCCACTCCACTTAAATATACCTCCATTTAACATGTTATGAAGCAGGCCAGGCGCAGTAGCTTACACCTGTAATCCCAGCACTTTGAGAGGATGAGGCAGGTGGTTTGCTTGAGCCTAGGAGTTCAAGACTAACCTGGGCAACATGGCAAAAGTCCATCTCTACTAAAAATACAAAAATTAGCTGGGCGTGGTGGCATGTGCCTGTAATCCCAGCTACTGGGGAGGCTGAGGCAGGAGAATTGCTTGAACCCGGGAGGCAGAAGTTGCAGTGAGCCAAGATCGTGCCACTGCACTCCAGCCTGGGAAACAGAGTGAGACTTGTTCTCAAAAAAAAAAATAAAAAATTAAAATATATATATATATATATATATATAGAGAGAGAGAGAGAGAGAGAGAGAGAGAGAGAGAGAGCGCACGAGCAAAGAACACCCCTCCTTTTTTTTTTCTAATTCTAAGCAAGACATTTTACTCTGTTCCTTTTCCATAATTAACTGAAGCCTAGTTCCAAATGCCTTCTTAGATCTTTCTTTTTGTTAACACTATGTTTCGCCACCAACTGAACATGAAATCTAACATTCGTAACTTAGAGATGCGGAGATCATGAGTCCTCAGACCTGTGGGGGCTGTGGCATTCTAGTAAGAGGCCCATCAATTTACATGTTAGTCTACATGGACTAGACTTTGTCAGATTCCTTTCAGCCCTACCACGTTGGGATTCTATGATTCCGAATGCATCCCAGAGAACAGCAGTTGATGAGAAGAGCAAGTAATGACAAGCAACTGTGAAGTACAACAAAGGTTTGTTTCTCATAGGCAAGGGGAAAACATATACAAAAATCTTTCAATATTTTTATTTACACAATATTAATAGTTCTTAAGAGAACTTCCATTTTCTACTTGCTGAAATTATGAATCAAACAATTAATCTTCATGATTAATTCCCAGTTTATCAAACTGAAATTATGTCTCCCTCTTCCACATCTAAAGCAGGGATTATCTGTATTATTTAATTCAACTAATCAGATTTTTTTACAGCAATATGAACTATGTGCTGTGGGAGATACACAGATGAATATAATCTGGAACTAACCCTCATGTAGTTCAAAATATAGCACATACTTTGGCCTGATACAATTTGGCCCATTATAAGTGCCAGTGGAGGAACCCACAAAGTGCTATGTTGTGAGCACTCTGGAAGGACCAATGCATCCCCACGCAGAAGGTATCATTTAGGTAAGTGCTTACCACACCATCTAGCACATGGTAAGTTCTCAATCAATGTTTCCTATTGTGTTGATATTATTAAGAGTTATCACTCTCTTATCACCTGTGTGACATTACCTCTCTTGACCCCAATTCTCTCATCTGTAAGATGAATACAATCATAATACCTGTAAATTGAGGATAACAGCACTTGCTCTGCCTACCTCTCAGAACTATGTGAGGACCAAAAAAATTATGAAGGTCATTTCTAACATGTGTTATTCACCTTTGAATGCATAGAGTCTTATACATAGTAAGAAACCAATAAATAGAGAAGATAGAAGGAAGAAAGGCAGGGAAGAAACAATAATTATTATTAAAATAGAAATCAGTTAAAAACTGGTTTTGTTTTATTTAAGTACACCTAGATTTATATCCTTAAATATTCACTTAAATTCTTCTTTTTTAAAATTTAAATTTAATTTTAATTTTTAGTTCTGGGGTACATGTGCAGGATGTGCAGGTTTGTTACATAGAAGTATTCACTTAACCTATTCTTAAATTCAATTTTTCCATCTATAAAAGGGAACTACTTTTAATATCCCTCACCTTCCTTCCTAAATGAAACAAATTTAAAGTGCTTATCACAATGTCTGGAATATAGAAAATTGCAGAACAACATATTTTTTAAATAGTTTTGAGCTTTGCCTTCAAGTGTTCTTTATTTGTTTGTTTAGTTATTGACTAGTTTTATTTTAGTAAGGTATTGGCCAATTTTTTTTTACTAGATATGGTCTGCTCCATATTTAAATAAAGAATAAAGTTCATATATTGTTTTTTCAAGAAGAGAAGAAGATGGAATTTGCCACTCTCCAGAGTTTCAAACTTGCTCTTTAATATGGCTCTGAAATTTAACTAACTTCCAGAAAGAGAAAAATGAATCTTCCTTTACTGGAAGGACATCTACTATTCTAATTTACCAGTGCTTTTTAAATTTGGGTGTTTTTTTATTTTGCCATTTCCCTCATCATTCTACAAATCTTTCATAGTTGAATTTATTCTGAGAAAGCTGATAATTTTATCCTAATTATCTTCCTGCTTTTTACAATTCCATTGTGCTAGCAGAAATAAATAAAACTAAGCAGTCTTTTAAACATCCTCATAGAGTCACACTAGACACACAGAAATAAAGGATCAGAAATCTAATTTCAGGAAGTATGGTTATAGAGGCAGAACTTTAATTCATAGAAATATATCCATAAAGCGGATAACTGAAAATCTACTGTTCCTTTACCCCTCACACAAAAATTTTCTGCAATCTCTACAACAGGACTAAAGACTGACTTCAAACATAAGAATGCACTAAACTGCTTCCAATCAAATCCATTCATAATTGCTGAGTTCGTGTTGTGAGAATAGATGCTACTTATTGTAAATTCACAACACAGTTGTAAAAACAGTGGCCAGCAACAATTACCGTCCATGGCTCTTCATCATTTATTGAGCTACTACTTCATGAATGATACAAGTTCAATTAAGTGTATGATGAATGTATTCCACAGAACAATAATAACAACAAACCCTAGAGCACTGCTATATCTCCAGCTCCTACAACAGAGCTGATTATCAATAAATGTTTATTGATTTAATAAATATATGATTTGAATCAATGATTTTTAATCTCCTTCTAGTAGTAGAAAGCAGGCAGATTTGATCACTGACCAGCATTGGATGTTGGACAGAGCACTGGGTGTTGGACAACAAATGGGGAAGGGGGAAGAAAAGAATATATAGACTTGAAGATGCCAGGTAGATATCTAAAGAAAGATCTCTCTAGAGGTTATACAAACCTTCCTCATCTCTGATCTCCATTAGCACATTCTATCAAGGATATCAGATTTAGGGCAAAGTTGGTCAGCTTGAGATTCTTTGTAGTCTCCCATAACCACAACAGTCCCAGTTGAGAACCCTCTAGGGATCTAACTTGGGAGGGATGGCATCTGGGAACTAACACGCAACTCACATATTCATCCCGTGGTTACTCTACTGAAGTCCTGCCACAGTAACAAGGAGAGCTAACTGAAAACAAAGACTGTGACTTAAAGTTAGAGGTAAGCCTAGTCGATTTTGATTCCTATAGACTTCTAGGCACTGCGGAGAGTTTGCCACAGCAAGAAACTTTATTTTGAATAAACAAAAATCAACAACAATAAATGATTTATGAGAATAGGCACAGATTTGTTTGGTGTTGTTGATAATGTTGGAGCCACTGAAACATTAATGTCAATAAATTAATGAATTATGCAACACTCATTATAAGGCCTTTTAATCTCATATATTAATGTAAGTGCCTTATAAACTTGTAGAATATATGTTTTCCACAAACTAATAGTAGAACACTAAACTGGGTATTAAGAGCCGAAGGACTAAACACACATGCCTGCGCGTACACACCCACCACTCCCTACATGCAACGTATCCATATATGGTATCCGTACATATATGTATACATACAGCCGCTGCTTAGCAAGCAAAAACACTTTTTTTTCTATAAATATATGTCCATTGTATTTAAGAATGAGACAGTTCACTCGAATTCAGATGTACAGGGTCCATTCTTAAGTTATTCATCAAGAATAACAATAAAATCTTTCAGGTACTGAATATAAATAAGAAAAATCAAATATATTTTGTATAATATTCTAATGTCCATTTGATTCACTGTATCTAGAATGATTCTTCTAAAACATGAATCATGGGAGTTTGCTGAACAAACACTTCTTTTGTCCTCAAAATGAAGTCCAAATCTCTTAATATGGATTTAGAAAGCTCTTTATCTTCATGATCTGACCTCAGCTTACCTATTAGCCCAAATCCCGCCTCCTGGTTCCTTGGGCTTTTTGCTCCAGTGCTACTGGCAGCTCTCTGGGCCTGCCATTCTCTTTCTTATCTCTGGGTATTTGATAATGCCATGTCCTCTGCCTAGAACATGTTCTGCCTCTGTTCACCAGTCTATTCCTGTCTCTCCTTTACGTCTCAGGTAGAGTCATTTCTTTTGGAAAGCCTCCCATCTGAATTAGGTGACTCTTTCTCTGTCCTCCAATGGCATCTTGTAGACTTATCACAGTTTGGCTTGAATGTCTATTCACTTGGCTCCATTTTCCTCTAGACTCAAAGCTACTTGAAGACAGAAACCATGTTTTGATCATTATTATATTCTTAGCACTGAGTGTCTGACACATAGTAAGTACTCAATACATATTTATTAAATAATTGAAGAGGAAAAGGAAGCCAGGTTAGCATCAATAACAATGAATGGCATATGTGCAAATTACCAGGTATGAGCTAACTCTGGTCTAAAGCCCCATTCATATTGGAAGTGCCCTAGCTTCTAGTCACTATGCCTAGATTCAAAGCCCATCAGGGCCTGCTTATTTACCTACAAAGAATTCCTATCCTACATCTCTAAACTGAAAACATTCTCAATTGGTCATACCTGGAAATGCATTGCTTAACTTCAAGGAAAACACTCACCTCTTTTGTCTCTTCAGAGAAAGCTTGCAGAATGTCCGTCTGCCTAGTGTAGTTGCCATTGGCGTCCTGCAGACCTTGCAGAATGCGCTCCCGCAGAACCAGCACTGAGACTCGAAGCTGGTGCCAGAGGAGCTGCACTGCGTGGATGTCCACTATCACGTTGACAGAGTAAGACAGCAGCTTTAGGGAGAACTCTGTTTCAAGGAGGGCATGGATTTGCTCAACATGATCAGAAATATCTTCACAAATGTCCTGCAGTAAAGAAAAGCAACATATGTGAGGACTACTTTGCCTTATCCTGGAGGGAGGTGAGGGTAGTAGAAAAGTACACTCTTACCTAACACCAATTATCAGGGCCAACAGTAGCACATTGGATACCTGGGGCCTTTGTTTTAGTTCAGATACCCAGTTGCAGGCCATATTCCTGTGCACTGGGCCTTCGGTCATTTAGGTAAATCAATCTTTTTCTAAACCACACAAATCCTACTATTCCATCAGATGCCCAAATTGAAAGTCAGCCAAGGTGAGAGGTGCATCTCTCCAATTCACTGCTCTCTTTTTTATTGTTTGTTGGGTATTCTGGAAGGGAACCAGTGGCTGTTTTATTTGCTAGCACTAAGCTACACTGGGCACACAATATTTCAGGTTAGAAACATCACCTAGACACCTTTGAAGAAAGATAACCTAGAATGTGTGCTTCATAGGCACTCTCAGCCATTCTCAATGAACTACGGGGTATTTGATGTAAGGGGCAATTGTCACTCTCCCACAAGTATACAACTTAATATTCAAATTCAGTGTTTTTTTTTTTTTTTTGGTTTGTTTTTGTTTTTTTTTTTTTAGATAGAGTTTCACTCTTGTCACATAGGCTGGAATGCAATGGCGCAATCTCAGCTCACTGCAACCTCCACCTATCGGGTTCAAGCAATTCTCCTGCCTCAGCTTCCCAAGTAGCTGAGATTACAGGCGGCTGCCACACGCCCCGCTAATTTTTGTGTTTTTAGTACAGACGGGGTTTCACCAGGTTGGCCAGGCTGGTCTTGAACTCCTGACCTCAGGTGATCCACCCACCTCAGCCTCCCAAAGTGCTGGGATTACAGGCCTGAGCCACCGCACCCAGCCTAAATTCACAGTGGATATCGAAATTTTCAACCCACACTTTGCAAGCAGAATCACTCTTATGAAACAAAGCCAGAAAAATTCCAAAGATGAAAAAAGACAAAATACAATTTTGTTTCGTTTCATGCAGACATTTTAAACAAAAACATTACTAACTCAGTCTCAGTCTCCTTGACACATACTATTAGGTAGGAAGATTTGGTATCTGACATGTCACTTGTTCTTACAAGTTCCCAAATTTCCATCGTGCTGTCAGAGGCCAGCAGCATGAAATGAGTGGCATCAATGGTAGTATTTACTTGGACAATTTAAGAGACCATTAAGCATCAAAATGATGGTGTCAGCTAAAAGGGCTCAGTTGCTCGTTTTTAGTTTTACATTAGTGATTTTTTAAAACTGAGCTTTTATTTATGATTTTTGTTAAGACCAAAATTTGAAGATAGCATTTGAGTTCTGAGCCCTACCATCAGTGTCAAAACGGTCATTCTATGCTGGAAACATAACCTTCTGATTTCATGTAATTCAGTTACTTTTTTAAAGAGAAAAATGAAAATATATAATCTGTATTTAAAAATGTACAAGGGAAAAAATCTATTGAAGAATGATAAATTGTGCTAAATTATGAATATTAATTGTTGTACAATTCCAATGAGTGCTCCAATATTAGTTCTTGAAACCCAAGAACTAATTGGTGACAGTGGTGCAAACTGGTGATTATAACTTGAAACAGAGCAAAAGTTTAAACTAGATGAACTTTGAAGCACTAATTAGGTAAGGTTCTCCCAAATGTGACCCACAAGGTAATGCAATCCAAAAGAAATTTAGGGCAAAAAATCTATTAGCCAGTGCATGGGAACCAATCACAGCCAGATTAGCTCGTCTCTGCTGGCCTCATCACAAAAGAGCAGGGCTCTCACTGCTATCATCAGATATTCCACATTGCCCGGGATTTCTGGTTGGAGCACCTACTTCATGTATTCCCCACACCTCTTGACCACTACCCCAAAATAAATGCCTGTATCTTTTGTCCTCTTAGGATGTTCATTTCTGTGTTGTTCTGTGCCACTTTGAGAAACTCCCTCCCTCCCACGGCTGAGTTCTTCCAAATTCTGTACACTTCCCCCCATTCTGTTGTAAAAAAACACTCCTTAACTTCTTCACAGAATCCATCTACTACCTGGACTCACCCAAACCTGATTCTGCCCAAGAATCCCACTTCCCCTGTTGTCCTCCCAGGGAAGGCTGCTCATTCTCCCAGTCCTCACCTGAGACACTATAGTAGGGATGATGGGGGAAAGGCTGGCCTCAATGCCTTTTAGCCACTTTGGCACTTTCTGATCATTACTCTTTCACTCTCATACTAACACCCTTTTTTCCCAGTAGGTGCCTAGTCTGATAAACCTTACCATCTTCCTCCCTCATTGCTGTTACCTACATTCTTCCCTTTTACTCCTCTACATTACACTGAAGAATGCAAGTGGTTCACATTTCACTCTCTCTATACCAAGCATGGCGTTATCTTTGGTAATGTCAGTATTGACAATGATGAACCAACCAACATGGTAGCCTCAGATTTCCTTTACTCTACAGCTCCCAGGACCTTCATATCCATTCCACTGGGACAAGTCTCTACCCTAGCTCTACTGTGGACTTCACTATCACTTCACCTGTGTAACAATATCAGAAATTCCCCTATGCCACCAACCTCTATTTGTTCAACTTTTTCACTCCTGTCTCCCACTACAGGTGCTCTTCAGCCTCATCCATGCCACCAGCTTCTCCAGTGACCCTTTCCTCAAATACTACCCTCCTGCTAGCATCTATGGGGTATGCCTCTGATATGGGGAGCATCTATAGTTATCACTGTTCAACTACTATCTTGGCAGTAGTCTCCACTCCCTCATACTCCTGATTCATAACTCAGATTTGTTAGCCTCTGTCTCTGGCATCTCACTTTGATGCTAAAGATGCAGAATATCTTACATACCTAGGAGAGAAAAACACTTGGGTAACCTTTATGCTACCAGCTCAGAATAGCCATATATACATTTCTCATCTACTCCACACCATCCTGCAATACAAAATGTTACATAGAGACTTGGCACCACGAAAGCATCATGTAAAAGCACATGCCATCTGTTCCTCTTATACATGATTTGGCTCCTTTGTAATAGATGTAGGAACGTAGTCAGAACAAGGTCATGGGTCAAGATTGCCAGGAAACTATCCAGGGAAAACAATATATAAAGGGCACTAAGGTATCATTGGTGCCAGTTAACTTAGGTTTTCACATCCTACTCCCTACATAACTGGGCAAGGTAAATTGGCCCCATTCCCACAGAAGCAGATGGACCCCTAAGGGGAAAAAAACACCCTTCCCATAAGTGCTGACCTACCAAAGTAGATATAATGATGGCAAATAAACACATTACAAAATCTTCAACTACATAAGCCAAGATGGAAATGTAAATTAAAACCACAATGAGATACCAGTTTACACCCGTTCAAATGCCTAGAATAAAAAAATTACTGACAGCACCAACTGCTAAGGACTTCTAGAACAACTGGAACTCTCCTATGCTGCTTATGGGAATTCAGAATGGCACAGTCACTCTGGAAAACAGGTTAGCAGTTTCTTATAAAATTAAGCATACAATTACCAATATGACCCAGCAATCCCACTCCTGGGTGTTTATCCAAGAGAAATGAAAACTTACATGCACACAAAAATGAAAAGAAGCTCCACCCACAATTGCTAAAACCTTCAATAGGTAAACTGATCATGGGTAAGTGGTCCTTCAATGTGTAAACAGATAAATGAACTATGGTATGCCTATACACTATGCAGCAGTTTTTTAAAAAGTGAACCACTATACATGTAACAATTTGGATAAATCTCAAAGGCATTACACTAAGTGAAAGAAGCCAGTCTCAAAATGTTACACACTGTATAATTCTATTTATATAAATAATATTCTCATAAGACAAAACTATAATGATAGACAATAGATGAGTGACTACTAGAGACTGGGGATGGGGAGGGCATGATTCTAAACTGATAGCACAAGGGAGTTTTGCAGACTGATGGAACTGTTTGGTATAGATTGTGGAGGTGTTATGCAAATCTACACATGGGTTAAGCTGTACACCAAAAAGAAAGTCAACTCTGCTGTATGATAATTTTTAAACTAATTACAGGAAAAGCAGTTTATAGTCTCAGTAAAATACACATAAAATTCATTTTGGATCACATACTGCCTTCGTATTCTTGAAAATTACAAAAAGCACAACTCTTTAAAGTCATGACGGTACTGTGATCATCAGCACTAATTTTATATAGTAATTCTGTGTAGCTCCCATATTATTTTCTAGCAAGTATAAAGGAAAATGAAGCTAATCAGAAGCCCATCTCAAAGTGAGTTAACACAAATGACAATGGTTAACAATATCTTAAAAGTTGCATAAGATTTTTTTCCACAGATATTACTGTGCTAATGTGGGAAAGTGACCCTCTACATTGCTTTGTTTAATTCACATATAGCATAATAGCACCATGGCATGCAGTACTCACAGACCAAAATGTATTGAATACATTATGTTACCAATTGCTGACTTCACTCAACCTTCCAGATACCTTGCTGTCTCAAAATTGAAGCTGCTGTCTCCAGTCAATGAGACAGGAATCTTCTGTGGTTACTGAAGCAGCTGATACAAACACTGAGGTGACCTGAGACTGTTTACAAATAAACTCTAGTTGGCTGAGTCCGTTGGTTTTTTTGTTTTTTGTTTTTTGTTTTTTGTTTTTTAAATTGGGTTGTATGCTTATGTGAGAGGGGTACCTTTTCCTTTTGTAAAACATATTATTGTACACTTTTTCATTGTATCTTATTTCTTCTAAACAAATACAGGGATGTTAAGGTAACTCATATATTTAACCAGTATGTCCAGTTTTCACCAGCTAGAGACAGAAATGAGGCACCCTTCTTGTGATTGCTCTGAATGCTTACTGTAATAACTCTTGAGTGTGACTTCTCAGTTCCTGCTAATTGTCCCTGGGAGACGATCTCTTTGCTGCCTCATCATGAGGCCATCATACCCTTTCTCAATCACTCTCAAAACATCTTAAAGGTTTCCCTGTGAAATTACAAATGTACATGGATCAACATTCTGCCAAGGTGCCTCAAATTGCCAATCTCCAGGGCTCCATGTGCATCTGGAAGGAAGTCTGCCCTCCCAGCAACATCCTCACCCAGGTACTGAAGCAACACTTGGCACCTCAGTTCCACAAAGTTGCACAAATGCAATCCTCTAAAACACACACACAAAAAAAAAGAAGGAAAGAAAGGCAAATTCCCCTAATGTCTGGGTGAGGTGGCTCATGCCTGTAATCCCAGCACTTTGGGAGACTGAGGCAGGAGAATTGCTTGGACTCAGGAGTTCGAGACCAGCCTGGGCAACACAGGAGACCCCATCACTATAAAAATTTTTAAAAATTAGTCAAGTGTGGTGGCACACACCTGTGGTCCCAGCTACTTGGGAAGCTGAAGTGGGAAAATGCCTTCAGCCCACGAGGTGTAGGCTGCAGTGAGCCATGATCGTACCGCTGTACTCCAGCCTGGCCAAAGCAATAAAATAACCTGTCTTAAAGCAAGAACCTGTCTCCAAAAAAAAACTGTCTTAAAGCAAGAACCTGTCTCCAAAAAAAAAAAAAAAAAAAAAAAAAGTTTCTTTACCCATATGTTCACCATATGTGTATGTGTTTATTACAGAAAGCTAAAAAGAGATTCTGACCTAATACATGTATTTTATATTTTAAAATACAGATTAAAGAAATATCACAGTTAGTTGCAATAAAACTCACAAGTAAACCTTTGAAATTGAAATTGCAACTTTATACAAAAAATCTTCCTATTGCAGAGTATAATCTTCAGTTGACTATCAAAATCATACTTTCTCCAAAAACAGAGTGATAGATTTCCCTATGGCAAAATATTTTTATTTCCCCAAAAGTGAACTATCCCTCTCAGTAAAGGAGAAGTACAGGGGAACTTTCTCAACTTGATAAAGAATATCTACAAAAAACCTATAGCTAACAGCAAACTTAACAGTGAGAAACTAGAAGTTTTCCCGCAAAGACTGACAGCAAGGCAAGGATGCCTCCTCTCAGCACTCCTTTACAACATCATACTAGAAGTCCTAGCTATTGCAATAAGATAAAAAGAGGAAAGAAAAGGCATAGATTTGGAAGGAAGAAATGAAACTGTCTTGTTCAAAGATGACATGATCGTCTATGTAGAAAATCTGACAGGATGGAAAAAAAAAGTAGACTCCTGGGACTAATAAGCAATCATAGCAACGTTGCAGAATATGAGGTTAATATACAAAAGTCAATTGCTTTCCTATATACCAGCAATGAACAATTGGAATATGAAATAAAAAACACAATACCATTTATACTAGCATCCCCCCAAATGAAATCTTAGGTATAAATCTAAAAACATATGTACAAGATCTATATGAAAACTGCAAACTCTGATGAAAGAAATCAAGGAAGTAAATACATGCAGTGGTATTCCATGTTTCTGGATAGGAAGACTCAATATTATCAAGATGTTAGTTCTTCCCAACTTGATGTACAGCCTCAACTCAGTAAAAAACCCAGAAAGTTATTTTATAGATAACAAACTGATTCTAAAGTTTATGTGAAGAGGCTCGGCACGGTGGCTCACACCTGTAATCCTAGCACTCTGGGAGGCTGAGGCAGGTGGATCACCTGAAGTCAGGAGTTTAAGACAAGCCTGGCCAACATGGTGAAATCCAAACTCTACTAAGAATACAAAAATTAGCTGGGAGCAGTGTTGCATGCCTGTAATCCCAGCTACTTGGGAAGCTGAGGCAGGAGAATCACTTGAACCCAAGAGGCAGAGGTTGCAGTGAGCCGAGATCACGCCATTGCACTCCAGCCTGGGGGACAGAGCTAGACTCTGTCTAAAAAATAATAATAATAATAAAGTTTATGTGAGGCAAAAGACCCAGAATATCCAAAACAATGTTTAAAAAGAACTCAACGGGGGGACTAACATTACCCAACTTCAAGATTTACTACAAAGCTACATTAATCAAGACAATTATATTGGCAAAAGAACAGACAAACAGATCAATGAACAGAATAGACAGCCTAGAGGTAGGCCCCCATAAGTAACAGTTAACTGATCTTTGACAAAGGAGCAAAGGCAACACAATAGAGAAAAGACAGTCTTTTCAACAAACGGTGCTGGAACTGGACATCTACAAGCAAATAATAATAATAATGATAATCCTAGACATTGACCTTACACCCTTAACACAAATTAACTCAAAATATATCACAGACTTAAGGGTAGACCTACTAGACAGCCTAGAGGTAGACCCACATAAGTAATAGTTAACTGATGTTCGACAAAGGAGCAAAGGCAACACAATAGAGAAAAGACAGTCTTCTCAACAAATGGTGCTGGAATTGGACATCTACTAGCAAGTAATAATAATAATGATAATCCTAGACATAGACCTTACACCCTTAACAAAAATTAACTCAAAATATATCACAGACCTAAGGGTAAAATGCAAAACCATAAAATCCTATAAGATATCATAGAAGAAAATCTAGATTACCTTGGGTTTGGCAATGACTTTTTGTTAATAGATACAACACCAAAGGCACAATCTATGAAAGAATTAATAAGCTGACTTCATTAAAATTAAATATTTATGTTCTGTGAAAGACATCATTAAAAGAATGAAAAGACAAGCCACAGACTGGGAGAAAATATTTGCAAAAGACTTATGAAGGATCATTATTCAAAATATATAAAGAAGTCTTAAAGCTCAACAAAAAGAAAACAAACAACCCAATTAAAAAACAGTCCAAAGACCTTAACAGATGCCTCACCAAAGAAAATAGACAGATGACAAATAAGAATATGAAAAGATGGTTCCATATGATAAGTCATCAGGGAAATGCAAATTAAAACAATGAGATACCATTAAAACAATGAGATACCATTACATAATCATTAGAATGGCCAAAATTCAGAATATTGACAACACCAAATGCTGGTGAGGATGTGGAGTAAGAGGAACTCTCATTCATTGTAGTGGGAATGCAGTTTGGTGGTTTCTTACAAAGCTAAACATATTCTCACCATAAAAACCAGCAATCGCACTCCTTGGTTTTTACCCAAAGGAGTTGAAAACTCATATCCACAGAAAAACCTGCACACAGATGTTTATAGCGGCTTTATTCATAATTGCCACAACTTGGAAGCAACCAAGGATTGCCAAAACTTGGAAGCAACCAAGGAGTTCAGTAGGTGAATGGATAAACTTTGGTATATCTAGACAATAGAATATTAGTCAGTGCTAAAAAGAAGTAAGCTATCAAGCTATGAAAAGACATGAGGAACCTTAAATGTATATTACTAAGTGAAAGAAGTCAATCTGAAAAGGCTACAAACCGTACTATTCCATTTATATGACATTCCGGAAAAGGCAAAGCAGTGGCTCCCAGACCGTTTGGGGCAAGGAGGGAAGACTAAGTAGAGAAGAGGATGTTTATGGCAGTGAAACTGTTCTATATACTATAAAGGTGGATACACATAATTTAATATTCCTCAAAATCTATAGAATGTACAAGACAGAGTGAACCCAATGTACACTATGTACACTATGGAATTGGGGTGATAATGATGTGCCAAAGTAGGTTCATCAATTGTAACAAATGTACCACCCTAGTGGGAGGTGCTGACAATGTGGAAAGCTATGCATGTGTGGAAACCTTAATGCAAGGGGATATAAGGGCTACCTCTGTGCCTGCCTCTTAATTTTGCTGTGAATCTAAACTGGTTACAAAAATACTATTTAAAAAAACACAAACTAGACTACCTCTTCTTTATTTTTCCTCTAGCAAATACACTTTTCTAATAAGCCTAGTTTCTTCTTTTGTCATATTAAGAATTAACTATAATGGGCTGAACATGGTGGCTCACACCTGCAATCCCATCACTTTGGGAGGCCAAGGTCGAAGGACCCCTTGAGCCCAGGAGTTTGAGACCACCCTGGGCAATGTGGCAAAAACCCATCTCTACAAAAGATACAAAAAGTATGCAAGCCTGGGCCAGGCACTGTGGCTCACATCTGTAATGCCAGCACTTTGTGGGGGCTAAGGTGGGCGGATCACTTGAGTTCATGAGTTTGAGACCAGCCGGGGCAATGTGGTGAAACTGCATCTCTACTAAAAATACAAAAATTAGTGGGGCATGGTGGCAGGTGCCTGTCATCCAAGCTACTCTGGAGGCTGAAGCAGGAGGATCACTTGACCCCGGGAGGCAGAGGTTGCAGTGAGCTGAGATTTCGCCACTGCACTCCAACCTGGGCGACAGGGCAAGGCTGTCTCAAAAAAATAAAAATAAAAAAATTATCCAGACCTGGTGGCATACACCTGTAGTCCCAGCTACTTGGGAAGATGAGGAGGGAGGATCACTTGAGCCCAGGAGGTCAAGGCTACAGTGAGCCATGATCACACCACTGTACTCCAGCCTGGGCAATAGAGTGAGACCCTGTCTCAAATTTAAAAATAATAAAAAAAGAATGACCATAATGGAGCGCAGTGGGAATAATCCTGACTTTTTATGATAATCACAGAACTTCTCTCCAAAGTTTGAAGAACTCTATAAACAGTAGTTATTCTTTTTAGTGCTAAAATTATGAGAGTGTGATGACTAAAATGAGCTAATTTATGTGGAAATGATTTGCTATTATTATTGGCTGTTACTCATCCATCTCCCTAACTAGACTGTATCTTTCTAGAAGCAGGAAATGTGTCTTATTTGTCTTGGTTATCTATAATGCCACACTGTTAGGACACCGCCATACAGATGCAAAGGATGTTTGTGAAGTCGAATTCAATTGGATAAAATATTGTATTTTACAAATTAGAGGTAAACCCCTAAAAAGCAAATAGTAGCTTAAATTTCTTTCTGAAGTATATTTACACTAATTGGCACTTACTCAGCAAGTAATGTCAGCAGTCACTGACATTGGGTCACCTCCTGCTTTGATTAGGAGAGGGTCTGAAAAAGCGAGCAGATTTGGAAGCGTGGAAGAGATGATAGAAAGAGAATGATGAAGATGCAGAATACAGTCTTGGAAGCATTCACACTTCTGCCTTCACGTCTCTGAAAGTCTCCTCTGCCTTCAACTGAGAAAGGACCAATTAGAAGTTCTGTCAGGATATACCTGGCCATATACAAACGTAGATTGCTTTGCTTTCCATGCTTTGAAAATTTTTTGCATAAAATTGTTATTAAAAAGCTTCAGAGGATTCATTTATTGAGCTATCACTTTAAATACCTAATACCAGGCTCTGACTTATTTGACCAGGAATAAACCCTAAACAAAAAGTTTGGAGGAAAACTGACCATTGTTATTGTACACTGGAGAAATTGTTTTTCTAAGCAAGCTACTGCTTAGTCATTCTTGCATTCAGTATTCTACATGACACAATGCAGGATCAAAATCTGAGTTCATTCACTAAAAAAATCATGGCTGTGGTCTTGACTCTCAATAGCTCTTCTGGAAATTGTTCAGAATATCTATACCTTCCCCAAGACATCTTCATAGAACTGATTTTTTTTAGCAGTGTTTCAGGTAGAAATTAATAGAGAAGACAGTGGTGGTTCTTACCTTGCAGTGTGCTTGTTAACCATGCATATTCCTGGGCTACTCCTTTTCAAGACAGCTAGGGCCAAAGAACCTGCATTTTCTTAAGCATGTGATGGCCATCATGCTGGTGTTCTATGCACCACACATTGAAAAACACGGAGCCAGAAATGGGTCATCTGTCTAGGCTGACTGATGCTGAAGTGGGAACTACGTGCAAGCCTGCTGCTAAGCACTGTAAAAGCAAAAGCTCCCAGCACTTGAAAGGTAGCCCACCACTGATATTACACAAATATATCTACAGTAGAATTTACATTCTTTGTGCGCCAGAAAACAACATTCCATAACTTTATTTACCCAGTACTGATAGTGTTGTAATAATCTCTAGGGCAGCATCAGGTTTGTGGATTTTTCTAACATGCCTTCTCTTTTGCTTTTTTGTACACTTTATCATAAAATGAAACAAATGACTGTCTCACACACACAAATAAATATATTTAATATATGTATGTAATATATATGTATATAGTAAATATGCTATTTACATGTATACCAGATGTTTATATATATGGCTTAGTAAATTATTATAAGGAAAACACTCTTGTAACAACCACCCAGGCCAAAATTTAGAACTTTACCAGCCATCCCCACCCCAGAACTGCTTCCGCCTGTCCCCTTTCCATCACAGAGGCTTCATCCCTCCAAAAGTGACCACTATCCTGATTTGCACAGCAATCATTCCCGCACAAGAGTACCTGCATATAATAATTTACTTTTGCCCAGTTTTTATCTTGATATGTCTTTTAAGTCTCTTCTCCATTTTTTTTTTTGAAACAGGCTCTTGCTGTTTGGCCTAGGCTAGTCTCAAATGATGTGCCCACCTTAGCCTTTGGAGTAGCTGGATTATAGGCACGTGTTACCACACCCAGCTTAAGTCTCTTTTAATCTGTTTTTCTATCTGTATTTCCTTTTTCATACAATTTATCTGTTGAAGAACTTCGGGCATTAGACCTGCAGAGTTTTCCACAATTTGGATTTGTTGATTGAAGCCACATGAAGCAATCCAGCCTGCCAGTTATTCTGTCCTCTTTACTTTCTAAAAACTGGCATCTGGATCCTGAGGCCTGATTCACCTCAGCTTCAATTTCTTTGACAAAACAGTAAGTACCACAGTCTTTTTTTTTTTTTTTTTTTTTAATCAGGAGGAGTATTTAACTTCATGGCCAGGCATGGTGGCTCACACCTGCAACCTGGCACTTTGAGAGGCTGAGGCCGGCAGATCGCTTGGCTCAGGAGCTCGAGACCAGTCTGGGCGACAAAGTGAGACCCCATCTCTACAAAAAATACAAAAATTAGCCAGACATAGTGATGTGTGCCTGTGGTCTCAGCTATTCAGGAAGCTGAGGTGGGAGGATGGCTTGACCCTGGGAGGCGGATGTTGCAGTGAGCTGAGATCACATCACTGCACTCTAGCCTGGGCGACAGAATCAGACCCCGTCTCAAAAAAAAAAAAAAGAGAGAGAGAGAGGTATTCAACTTTGATTTTTGTTCTTTTTTCGATAGTTGGTGATATCAACTATTTTAGTAATTGCTGGTCAGCGGTGCCTAGATCTGTTAATGTATTGGGAGTTGTAGCATGATGATATTCTTTTTTTAAAAAATTCTACTTTAAGTTCTAGGGAACATGTGCACAACGTGCAGGTTTGTTACATATGTATACATGTGCCATGTTGGTGTGCTGCACCCATTAACTCATCATTTACATTAGGTATATCTCCTAATGTTATCCCTCCCCCCCTTCCCCCACCCCAAGACAGGCCCCGGTGTGTGATGTTCCCCACCCTGTGTCCAAGTGTTCTCATTGTTCAATTCCCACCTATGAGTGAGAACATGCGGTGTTTGGTTTTTTGTCCTTGGTGATAGTTTGCTCAGAATGATGGTTTCCAGCTTCATCCATGTCCCTACAAAGGACATGAACTCATCCTTTTTTGTGGCTGCATAGCATTCCATGGTGTATATGTGCCACATTTTCTTAATCTAGTCTATCATTGATGGACATTTGGGTTAGTTCCAAGTCTTTGCTATTGTGAATAGTGCCCCATTAAACATAACGTGTGCATGTGTCTTTATAATCCTTTGGGTATATACCCAGTAATGGGATGGCTGGGTAAAATGGTATTTCTAGTTCTAGATCCCCGAGGAATCGCCACACTGTCTTCCACAACGGTTGAACTAGTTTACACTCCCACCAACAGTATAAAAATGTTCCTATTTCTCCACATCCTCTCCAGCACCTGTTGTTTCCTGACTTCTTAATGATCACCATTCTAACTGGTGTGAGATGGTATCTCATTGTGATTTTGATTCGCATTTCTCTGATGGCCAGTGATGATGAGCATTTTTTTCATGTGTCTGTTAGCTGCATAAATGTCTTCTTTTGAAAAGTGTCTGTTCATATCCTTTGCCCACTTTTTGTTGGGGTTGTTTGATTTTTTCTTGTAAGTTTGTTTAAGTTCTTTGTAGATTCTGGATATTAGCCCTTTGTCAGATGGGTAGATTGTAAAATTTTTCTCCCATTCTGTAGGTTGCCTGTTCACTCTGATGGTAGTTTCTTTTGCTGTGCAGAAGCTCTTTAGTTTAATTAGATCCCATTTGTCAATTTTGGCTTTTGTTGCCATTGCTTTTGGTGTTTCAGTCATGAAGTACTTGCCCATGCCTATGTCCTGAATGGTATTGCCTAGGTTTTCTTCTAGGGTTTTTATGGTTTTAGGTCTAACATTTAAGTCTTTAATCCATATTGAATTAATTTTTGTATAAGGTGTAAGGAAGGATCCAGTTTCAGATTTCTACATATAGCTAGCCAGTTTTCCCAGCACCATTTATTAAATAGGGAATCCTTTCCCCATTTCTTGTTTTCGTCAGGTTTGTCAAAGATCAAATGGTTGTAGATGTGTGGTATTATTTCTGAAGTCTCTGTTCTGTTCCATTGGTCTATAACTCTGTTTTGGTACCAGTACCATGCTGTTTTGGTTACTGTAGCCTTGTAGTATAGTTTGAAGTCAGGTAGCATGATGTCTCCAGCTTTGTCCTTTTAGCTTAGGATTGTCTTGGCAATACAGGCTCTTTTTTGGTTGCACATGAACTTTAAAGTAGTTTTTTTCCAATTCTGTGAAGAAAGTCATTGGTAGCTTGATGGGGATGGCATTGAATCTATAAATTACCTTGGGCAGTATGGCCATTTTCAGGATATTGATTCTTCCTAACCATGAGCATGGAATGTTCTTCCATTTGTTTGTGTCTTCTTTTATTTCATTGAGCAGTGGTTTGTAGTTCTCCTTGAAGAGGTCCTTCACATCCCTTGTAAGTTGGATTCCTAGGTATTTTATTCTCTTTGAAGCAATTGTCAGTGGGAGTTCACTCATGATTTGGCTCTCTGTTTGTCTGTTAGTGGTGTATAGGAATGCTTGTGATTTTTGCACATTGATTTTGTATCCTGAGACTTTGCTGAAGTTGCTTATCAGCTTAAGGAGATTTTAGGCTGAGATGATGGGGTTTTCTAAATATAAAATCATGTCATCTGCAAACAGGGACAATTTGACTTCCTCTTTTCCTAATTGAATACCCTTTATTTCTTTCTCCTGCTTGATTGCCCTGGCCAGAACTTCCAACACTATGTTGAATAGGAGTGGTGAGAGAGGGCATCCCTGTCTGGTGCCCGTTTTCAAAGGGAATGCTTCCAGTTTTTGCCCATTCAGTATGATATTGGCTGTGAGTTTATCATAAATAGCTCTTATTATTTTGAGATACATCCCATCAATACCTAATTTATTGAGAGTTTTTAGCATGAAGGGCTGTTGAATTTTGTCAAAGGCCTTTTCTGCATCTATTGAGATAATCATGTGGTTTCTGTGGTTCTGTTTATATGATGGATTATGTTTATTGATTTGCATATGGTGAACCAGCCTTGCATCAAAGGGATGAAGCCAACTTGATCTTGGTAGATAAGTGTTTTGATGTGCTGCTGGATTCGGTTTGCCAGTATTTTATTGAGGATTTTTGCATTGATGTTCATCAGGGATATTGGTCTAAAATTATTTTTTTGTTGTGTCTGCCAGGCTTTGGTATCAGGATGATGATAGTCTCATAAAATGAGTTAGGGAGGATTCCCTCTTTTTCTATTGATTGGAATAGTTTCAGAAGGAATGGTAGCAGCTCCACTTTGTACCTCTGGTAGAATTCGGCTATGAACGCGTCTGGTCCTAGACTTTTTTTGGTTGGTAGGCTACTAATTACTGCCTCAATTTCAGAGCCTGTTATTGGTTTAAGAGATTCAACTTCTTCCTGGTTTAGTCTTGGGAGGGTGTATGTGTCCAGGAATTTATCCATTTCTTCTAGATTTTCTAGTTTATTTGTGTTGAGGTGTTTATAGTATTCTCTGATGGTAGTTTGTATTTCTGTGGGATTGGTGGTGATATCCCCTTTATCATTTTTTATTGTGCCTATTCGATTCTTCTCTCTTTTCTTGTTTATTAGTCTTGCTAGCGATCTATCAACTTTGTTGATCTTTTCAAAAAACCAGCTCCTGGATTCATTGATTTTTTGAAGGGTTTTTTGTGTCTCTATCTCCTTCAGTTCTGCTCTGATCTTAGTTAATTCTTGCCTTCTGCTAGCTTTTGAATGTGTTTGCTCTTGCTTCTCTAGTTCTTTTAATTGTGATGTTAGGGTATCAATTTTAGATCTTTCCTGCTTTCTCTTGTGGGCATTTAGTGCTATAAATTTCCCTCTACACACTGCTTTAAATGTGTCCCAGAGATTCTGGTATGTTGTGTCTTTGTTCTTGTTGGTTTCAAAGAACATCTTTATTTCTGCCTTCATTTAGTTATGTACCCAGTAGTCATTCAGGAGCAGGTTATTCAGTTTCCATGTAGTTGAGCAGTTTTGAGTGAGTTTCTTAATCCTGAGCTCTAATTTGATTGCCTTGTGGTCTGAGAGACAGTTTGTTATAATTTCTGTTCTTTTACATTTGCTGAGGGGTGCTTTATTTCCAACTATGTGGTCAATTTTGGAATAAGTGTGATGTGGTGCTGAGAAGAATGTATATTCTGTTGATTTGGGGTGGAGAGTTCTGTAGATGTCTATTATGTCTGCTTGGTGCAGAGCTGAGTTGAATTCCTGGATATCCTTGTTAACTTTCTGTCTCGTTGATCTGTCTAATGTTGACAGTGGGGTGTTAAAGTCTCCCATTATTATTATGTGGGAGTCTAAGTCTCTTTGTAGGTCTCTAAGGACTTGCTTTATGAATCTGGGTACTCCTGTATTGGGTGCATATATATTTAGGACAGTTAGCTCTTCCTGTTGAATTGATCCCTTTACCACTATGTAATGGCCTTCTTTGTGTCTTTTGATCTTTGTTGGTTTAAGGTCTGTTTTATCAGAGACTAAGATTGCAACCCCTGCTTTTTTTTTGTTTTCCATTTGCTTGGTAGGTCTTCCTCCATCCCTTTATTTTGAGTTTTTGTGTGTCTCTGCATGTGAGATGGGTCTCCTGAATACAGCACACTGATGGGTCTTGACACTTTATCCAATTTGCCAGTCTGTGTCTTTTAATTGGAGCATTTAGCCCATTTACACTTACGGTTAATATTGTTATGTGTGAATTTCATCCTGTCATTATGATGTTAGTTGGTTATTTTGCTCGTTAGTTGATGCAGTTACTTCCTAGCCTCAATGGTCTTTACAATTTGGCATGTTTTTGCAGTGGCTGGTACTGGTCGTTCCTTTCCATGTTCAGTGCTTCCTTCAGGAGTTCTTGTAAGGCAGGCCTGGTGGTGACAAAATCTCTCAGCATTTGCTTGTCTGTAAAGGATTTTATTTCTCCTTCACTTCTGAAGCTTAGTTTGGCTGGATAAGAAATTCTGGGTTGAAAATTCTTTTCTTTAAGATGTTGAATATTGGCTCCCACTCTCTTCTGGCTTGTAGAGTTTCTGCTGAGAGATCTGCTGTTAGTCTGATGGGCTTCCCTTTGTGGGTAACCCGACCTTTCTCTCTGGCTGCCCTTAACATGTTTTTCTTCATTTCAACTTTGGTGAATCTGACAATTATGTGTCTTGGAGTTTCTCTTCTCAAGGAGTATCTTTGTGGCATTCTCTGTATTTCCTGAATTTGAATGTTGGTCTGCCTTTCTAGGTTGGTGAAGTTCTCCTGGATAATATCCTGAATAGTGTTTTCCAACTTGGTTCCATTCTCCCCGTCACTTTCAGGTACACCAATCAGACGTAGATTTGGTCTTTTCACATAGTCCCATATTTCTTGGAGGCTTTGTTCGTTTCTTTTTACTCTTTTTCTTCTAAACTTCTCTTCTCGCTTCATTTCATACATTTGATCTTCAATCACTGATACCCTTTCTTCCACTTGATCGAATTGGCTACTGAAGCTTGTGCATGTGTCACGTAGTTCTCGTGCCATGGTTTTCAGCTCCAACAGTTCATTTAAGGTCTTTTCTATGCTGTTTATTCTAGTTAGCCATTCGTCTAATCTTTTTTCAAGGTTTTTATCTTCTTTGCGATGGGTTCAAACATCCTCCTTTAGCTCAGAGAAGTCTGTTATTACCGATCCTCTGAAGCCTTCTTCTCTCATCAAAGTCATTCCCCATCCAGCTTTGTTCCATTGCTGGTGAGGAACTGCTTTCCTTTGGAGGAAAAGAGGTGCTCTGATTTTTAGAATTTTCAGCTTTTCTGCTCTGGTTTCTCCCTATCTTTGTGGTTTTGTCTACCTTTGGTCTTTGATGATGGTGATGGACAGATGGGGTTTTGGTGTAGATGTCCTTTCTGTTTGTTAGTTTTCCTTCTAACAGTCAGGACCCTCTGCAAGTCTTTTGGAGTTTGCTGGAGGTCCACTCCAGAACCTGTTTGCCTGGGTATCACCAGCACAGGCTGCAGAACAGCAAATGTTGCAGAACGGTAAATGTTGCTGCCTGATCCTTCCTCTGGAAGCTTCGTCTCAGAGGGGCACCCAGCTGTATGAGGTGTCAGTCGGCCCCTTCTGGGACGTGTCTCCCAGTTAGGCTACTCGGGCGTCAGGGACCCACTTGAGGAGGCGGTCTGTCCCTTCTCAGATCTCAAACTCCGTGCTAGGAGAACCACTGCTCTCTTCAAAACTGTCAGACAGGGAGGTTTAAGTGTGCAGAAGTTTCTGTTGCCTTTTGTTCAGCTATGCCCTGCCCACAGAGGTGGAGTCTACAGAGGTAGGCAGGCCTCCTTGAGCTGCAGTGGGCTCCACCCAGTTCGAGCTTCCAGGCTGCTTTGTTTACCTACTCAAGCCTCAGCAATGGTGGACGCCCCTCCCCCAGCCTTGCTGCTGCCTTGCAGTTCGCTCTCATACTGCTGTGCTAGCAGTGAGCGAGGCTCCGTGGGCATAGGACCCTCTGAGCCAGAAGCAGGATATAATCTCCTGGTGTGCCATTTGGTAAGACCACTGGAAAAGCACAGCTATTAGGGTGAGGTGATGCCCCGCCCTGCTTTGGCTCACACTCCATAGGCTGCACCCACTGTCCAACAATCCTCAGTGAGATGAACCCAGTACCTCAGTTGGAAACGCAGAAATCACCCGTCTTCTGCGTCACTTACACTGGGAGCTGTAGACTGCAGCTGTTCCTATTCTGCCATCTTTGAACAGCCTCCAGCATGATGATATTCTATCATTTTGTTTTCATTTATTAGCTAGAATAACTTCAATAGAAGATGCTTCCCTTTATCAACTATTTGCTCATACAGGTAAAATTCATAAAGGAAAGTTAAGATAAATATTTGATTCTTTAATTTTCTTTAGCTAGTTTTCGAGGAAATGAATTGATTCTGTCATATTCAGAAGGTAACCAACTGGTCGTCTTACTTGATATCATTGCATACTCATGGATTTAAACATATATGATCCACTTTTGATTCACTGCAGTTCTAACCTTATTGAGAGTTGCCCATCTTTGGCCAGTGGGATCTCCTTCAATCTAGCTTCAAGTTGACTATTCTGTAATAGTAATCTTTGATAGCTTCTTTGCTCATCTTGTATGTGATGTAAAATCAGATATTTTTCTAAGAAGGCTTGGTTTCCTTTAATGGGAAAAGATTTTTCAGACCACCATCAAGGCAATAGGGCTGTTCATTACTACTGAATTGGTCACTGTGTCTAGGCTTTTTTCATTAATAGAGCTAGGAAAAACATGTATTGAAAAATAAAACACCTATGAGTTCACAATTGATATATCCAATTCAAATTCAGGAATACAGGGTTTTTACCTAATATCTTCTATAGTATATCCGTATTTCCTTTCTTCCACCCCAAAAATTTGTGGTAATAGAATTAGAAGATCTCATACTTACTTTTCGTTTTATTTCACATTACATATACGATAGTTTCAGAATAGCAATACTATCTTAATACTACTACTAGTACTGGTACTGAAGCGAAAGACTAGGACAGGTATTTATAAGAAACCTGATCAAGGTGCCTTTTTTCAGCACAGAAGAGAGGAGTTTCACCTCTGATTTGTCTTTATCTGGTCTTTGAGAGCAAACAACTTATATCCTAGTCTCACTGTTCACCACAGTTCATATTATACAGTTTTAAAAATTGGGAATTTATAAGTTCCTTTACCATCTTCAAGGTCCATCCAGAAGGAAAAAAAGGCTCAATAAAAATATGACAAAAACACGTGATCATTAATTCTCCTCCAAAGAGGGAAAAGCCCTTTGGTTTTAGAAGGCATACCCTGAGAGGCTTTCTGCCTCAGCAAACCTTCTAGTCTTTGCAGATCATCACAGAATACGCAAAAAGGACAAAAATCACTGAAGATAGTCATCAATGATATACCAAAGAAACTCAACTCTAATGCTAGGTATGCCAGGTGAAGCACTCTTTTGTTTTTCTTTCCAATGTAACTACTGTAGGTCACAGGGTTATGAAGATGGGTCTTCTCTTCAAGCAACAGACTGTAAGCATCTCTTCATTCACCATCTCACATGGCAAAAATTATGCAATTTATATATTTGCTTTGTTTGTTCAGTGGTGTATAGGTCATTTCTGTCTATGTCTCTTTGCCTTAGGAAATTCTTGTAGGGCAAGCACTTTGTCTATTTTGCTTCACAGAGTTTAGTACCACATGTAAATGAAGTCTTAATACATACTGATGTTACCGATATTGAATTCACAAACCATGAAACGAAAGCTTCAAGATGATCATGAAAAGAATATATGAAGCAAAAAATGTATCTAGATCACTTTGCATCACGCTAGGCATCAGAGAGTCTGAATTCTTGGCCCCTGTGTGTATTGGTTATCTGTATCCCCATAGATTGCTGAGCCTCAGTTTCCTCATCTATAAAGACAGTGCTAGATGGGTGACCTGTACTCTCAAGCCCAAAGATTTTCTTTTGTTTTCTTTCTCTTTTATTTTGTGTACTCCACCCATAAGACAGCCCAAGCTTTAGTTACCCAGAAGTTTTTACATATCTCTGAAAAACCTTGTAAAATTACTGTTATTTCTTCCAAGTAGTAGAACGAGTACTAAGTGAGAATCAGAAGACTTGAGTTCCAGTCCTAGGTACATTGAAAGGTATCTCTCTGATATAGTTTTGCTGTGTCCCCAACCAAAATTCACCTTGAATTGTAATAATCCCCATGTGTCAAAGGTGGGGCCGGGTGGAGATCATTGAATCATGGGGGCAGTTTCCCCCACACCGTTCTCTTGGTAGTGAATAAGTCTTATGAGATCTGATGGTTTTATAAATGGAAGTTCCCCTGCACAAGCTCTCTTGCCTGCCGCCATGCAAGACTTGCCTTTGTTTCTCCTTTGCCTTCTGCCATGATTGTGAGGCCTCCCAGCCATGTGGAACTGAGCCCATTAAACCTCTTTCCTTTATAAATTACCCAGTCTCAGGTATGTCTTTTTTTAGTAGCATGAGAACAGACTAATACATTCTAGGACTCCTGCAGGTCACCCTGCCACAGGCCCTGAAATAACAGTGCAGATCCATACCACCAAGCTGAGGAGGAAAGGTCTATGGTTCATTCAGAATGAAAGTTAAGACCCCCACCTTCACTCCAGGATTAATGTCCTGAGAGGCCCTTTTTGTTGTGTTTTCCTTAGTTGCTATGCTGGGTTCAGGCCATTACTCCTCCACCCTCCTACTTATCCTTTCCCAGGCAAGAGGTATACACAGATTCCTTTGAGTCTCATTTTCAACTCCCTATACCACCTGTTGCTTTTTCTTCATTACAGTCATTTAAGATTTTATCTTGTAAAGAATCTATCAATATCCATTAGCAGTTTAGATTTGTTTTATCTGATGTAAATTTCTAGTAACTCCATTGAAATTCTGGAGCGTTTCAAGGTATAAAGGATCTTACAGGTTAATTTACAAATGCTTTCTCCTGACCTATTCATTAGTACTTTTTCTACTGGGAGAAAGAAGTTAAGGAAATCAAAGTTCTATTTGGGATTTCATTGCTGACTCATTGTATGACCTTTGGCAGCTCTTTCTTAGATGTACTTTTTATCTATTTAGATCAGTAAGACCATGGCACAGCTTCTAAGGATGTGTTTCTATGCCTTCCTCCCCCACATAAATAAATATCCACAGCAACTGGCTTGACTGTTGATTTGTATTTAAACAACTACAGTATGTCTGTTGAGAGCTAATATTATAGACACAAGTTTTTAGGTCTCACATCTGAGAGTCCAGAACAGGAAATGAAGCCTCATAGGATCAAAGTCCTTTGGTTAAGGTTCTGAAAATTAGATAACAACAAATCCAGATTCTGAAGCCAGTATCATTCTTTCATATCGGGTAGATGGGAAGGCAAGCTGTCGATTAACCTTTGGAAAGCTCCATTACCTCCCATTGACCCAACAATTTTATTCACAGGATTCTTTTCTAAGGCAATAATGAATTTACCTACTGAAATGCTGTCAAATACTTGTTTATAATGGTGAAAAATTATAAAAAGAGAGATGAGTTTAACATGATGTGGTATTCCACATAATGAAAAAAAATGCACAGATGCTAAAAACATTGTAAAATATATTTAATCGCATCAGAAGATGTTCAAGGCATATTGTTACCAGAAAAGAAGTAAGTTATAAAAGAGTTCTATATAGAAAAAAAGTATAGCTATGTATACTAAAGTAAAAAATATGTCAAAGCTATTCATAGTATTTTCTCTAGGTGGCAGCATTACAAATGATTTTTATTGTACTGTTTATCTGTATGTTTAAAATTTTTCTCCACTAGAGATGTATTTCTTTTGTGAGAAATAAGAAAAAAAATAAAAAGTTAAACAACCAAGAGGTTAAGTCAGTTCCATGGCAAAACAACAGTCAGGGAATGCATGTCAAACTATGCACAAGAAGGATACAAAGTATAATATCAAAGCAGGCAACTGAATTATACCAAAGCAGCAGGATCCTCAGATTCCCAGCATTCTTTTTGTGTAAGCAGGGATCTCTCACTCCACAGTCACCCTCATTCTTTTAGGGCTCTATGTCAGGTGGCCAGGTAACATTAGCCAGGTATACAGATAAATAACATATCATTAATTCTGGTTACTAGGATTATTAACTGTGTTTGCTCTGATTGTTTTTTCCTTAAGTTTAGCAGAATTGAAATAAAGACATAGGTAAGGAAAATACACTTATTAATCTGAAATAAGAGTGGGAATGTGAACCTTACTCACTCCATCTCCTTTTTAATTTGATTGATTGCTTTGCCCTGGAGTATAGCTGAATAGATTACCAATCCTCTTCTACATTTTCATATAAACCCACAAGGGAGGAGATAGTTCTATGGACAGTTTCCATCACTTGACAAAGCAAGATCTTGTTTACCTCCTGGAGTGACCCCAACACCCTAAGATACAGAATCTTCCACTTTCAAGCCTTTGAGTAATTACTGGGGGAGTAAAGACATCTGAGAACTTAGTCCTCCCTTGGGGATAAACTTTGCATGACTAAAATTTCAGTCCTTCAAAATTCCTTAGGGTTTATTGCAACATATAATTTTTGCTAATTAGTTTATATAAACTTATGTTTACTTTCACTAACCCAAATAATTTGTACTGATAGATTTTCAATCTAGAACATTTTCTGGAAAATTTATTGCTGAGCATTAGAGCCTAAATTAAAACACAGAATCCAGCTTATGTCTGAGTTATGAAAATCTATTTTGGTATTTTGCCTGCTCCTTGCTTGACTGACTGTCCGTATTATAACTACTCTTCAGCAAGCCCTAGACATACAAAGCAAGACTAAAGTTATCGAATTCCAATACTGTGGTTTTAAATCCACCCTCATTGCCCTTTTCCAGAGGCCCCTCTGGGAAATAAACATGGATCAGAATAGCATATCTGACCACCAAGTACAGTAATCATTCATTATTAATGTCCCAATGTCACACCAAAATGGAGGATGAAGGGTTCATTCAAATAATCCTATAACATTGGCTAACATCCCTCAAAGCACTCAAAAGTGCTTCAGTTTTGAAATCAGTTGCCAGCTAAGAAACAAATTCAATTTCAATGCACTTTCTAAACCTCCAGATTAATTTCGTCTATAAAGTAATTTTTAAACTCATTGCTTACTTAGATTGACCATAAACTTAGTGAGAAAGAACTTTCTTCTCTCTGATTATACACACAGAATTCTACTCATATCAAACAACGAGTGGAGTTTCAGAAGGCAAACAAAAGGAAAAACAGAATCAAAAAATTAGCTCTGAGTAAATATAAATATCAACCAAACCTCAAGTCATTTCTTTCAACATTAATCAACATGATTAAAAAGCACCCCTCCACAGTACCCTAAATCTTATGCCCATCCCACCACTATTTAACTACAGACAGAAACCATCTTGTGAATGTCTAGTGAAAATCCAAATGTCTACAAGTAAATTAACAAGTAAAGTAAGTAATAAAATTAAAGAAACAAAATGAGGGACAACTGAGCTGGAGATACAGAAAATATGCATAAGACTATGTGAGAGATTTACAAGGATGGGACAACTTATATGATCTCTCTATGATTTATACTTTACCTGCTTCCAAAACAGAGGGGAGAAGGCAGGTGACTTACAAATAGTAAGGTACACTATTAAAGATAAAATTTTAAAACACAGGAAAGAGAAAGATGAACGAGACATTTAAAATGAGATTATTACTGCAATTCAGCACTCAGTTTAGCTCAGTGAAAAGAGGAAAAAATGTGTGGCCAAAAGTAGACGGCCGAACAAAAAGAACTGGTATGGGGAACTAAATATATAAAGGGGTTATCAATAGTTAATACAACCTGTAATCCTAGCACTTTGGGAGGCCGAGGTGGGTGGGTCACCTGAGGTCAGGAGTTCTAGACGAGCCTGGCCAACATGGTGAAACCCCATCTCTATTAAAAAATACAAAAATTAGCCAGGCGTGGTGGCACATACCTGTAGTCCCAGCTACTTTGGAGGCTGAGGCAGGAGAATTGCTTGAACCCAGGAGGTGGAGGTTGCAGTGAGCTGAGATCCACCACTGCACTCCAGCCAGCCTGGACCACAGAGTGAGACTCCGTCTCAAAAAAAAAAAAAAAAAACCAAGAAGGTAGCAGTAGATGATTTCTGTAAACAGAATGAATTAAAGAAAGACCTGAAACACTGAAACAAGAAAGATCTTGCCTCTTTGGAATTGCATGGCATCTTTGTGACACTAATCAGACTCTGGAAGACAGAGAAAGCTAGATGTACAGAGGTCTGGCCTGAAAAGAGCTGAACTCAATAATCAGAGAGAAAACACTGACAACAAGGAAATTCCTAAGGAAAATTTATTTCTGAAACTAGCAAAAAAATGGACCCTGCAATTAAACTTTGTCCGTGTTGCTTGTCCATTCACTTACACTGTATCAAGGATTTGTGCTCCAGGACTGCTCACACAAATGTCAACAATGTTCTAACACTCTAAACAGATGATAGAGGGTAAGTGTGGGATGATTTTGGTCAGAGGAACGTCTTCTCCTCCTTCTTCCTTCAGGTTGGTGCAAAGCTCAAGATCATCAGTGACCCCAAGGAGCCCTCGGTGTTATCACAGAATCCAAACAGTAAGGATTAGATTGGCCAGCATGACTCCAGAGATTTCACATAACTAGAGCTAACACGAAAAACTAAATGAATGCTTCCTTGAAATGAACAAATATTCTGTGATCATATGATGAGGGCCAAGAGGCCATCTTGAAGTTAGAAAAAGTAGTTAAGTACCAAATTATAATAGCATTTGTTCTCTATAGAAAGAATAGGTCTATCTTAGGTGGAAAACATTGGTACAGACACAGCTTAAGGTCTATAAGTAGGCTATATAAGTGGTAGAACAAAAGCTTAGAAAAACCATGTGAGCACAAAGTAAAAACAAGTATACAGAGAAATTGTATCAAAATATCTCCAGGGAATAAGATTGTAGGTAATTCTTCATATATATATATATACACATATATATATGTATATATATATATACACATATATATGTATATATATATACACATATATATATGTATATATATACATATATATACATATATATACACATATATATATACACATATATATACACATATATATATGTATCCATATGTTTACTTATATAATTTATTATAGGAACATGGAATACTTTTTAATAATTCGGTGGCTTTTTGCTTGCCTGTTTGTTCTTTGGCATATGCAAGATCTAGCATTTTAAAAATAGAAGGCAATGATGAGTGCATTATAGCAGAGAGACACTATTAGTAGTCATGGGAGAAGAGCTGGGCAGAGGGAGGAAAAAATAACACAAAGGCTTTTGTGTAAGAGCCCTGGAATCTGGTGCTAGCCAGTGCTAGATCCCCCTTTAAGCGCTCCGCCCACAAAGTAATACAGCCAAGTCCTTGCCCATCAACTGGCCTCAAAACTTCCTTTAAATGTAGCCAGAATACATTTTGTTTTTCAATCTGCATGAGGTCAGCTGCACGGTGAGGCAGCAGCTAGGGCTTATGGAATGACAGAGATTTCCGGGAGAGGCAGCTTCAACGGGAATGAAGGAGCGTCAAGTAACATACGGCAAACGTAAATAGACACCAAGGTTGGAATGACCGGACCCTTGAAAGGACTATAAACAGCCAGCAGAGTCCCAGCAGGACTCTATTTGCCTTGGAGCCAAACCAAATCTGGGAGTTCTGACCACGCTGGCTTCACCAAAGGGCAGACAGTGCCCTAATCTACCCTAAGAAGGAGACTGGTGTCCTGGAGCCACCTCCTATCTTGTGCAAGACCTGGACAAGACACAGGACAGAACAGTGTAATTTAAAAGAGTGCACCCACTCCAAATGTATGGTCAAGGAGAATTCATAAAACACACATACCACACAAATGGCCAATGGAAGGATTTTTTTAAACTTTTTTAAGAAATTATTTTGCCATAAAAATAATGTGAGTTCCTTACAAAAAAAAGTTAGAAAAGATAAGACAAAAAACTAATAACAGACTGTGTCCATCTTGTTTACCACTTATCCTTAAGAGCCCCAAACAATGCTTGGTACAAAGTAGGTACTCAATAAACAAGCCAAGGTGGGCAGATTGCCTGAGCTCAGGAGTTTAAGACCAGCCTGGACAACATGGCGAAACCCCGTCTCTACTAAAAATACAAAAAAAATTAGCCAGGCGTGGTAGTGTACACATGTAATCCCAGCTACTCAGGAGGCTGAGGTACGAGAATCGCTTGAACCCAGGAGCCAGAGGTTGCAGTGAGCCGAGATCGCGCCACTGCACTCCAGCCTTGGAGACAGAGCAAGACTCTCTCAAAAAAAAAAAAAAAAAAAAAAAAGAGGCAGGGCATGGTGGCTTACGCCTGTAATCTCAGCACTTTGGGAGGCCAAGGCAGGATCACAAGGTCAAGAGATCAAGACCATCCTGGCCAACATGGTGAAACTCCGTCTCTACTAAAAATACAAAATTAGCTGGGCATGGTGGTGCACGCCTATAGTCCCAGCTACCTGGGAAGCTGAGGCAGGAGAATCGCTGAACCCAGGAGGTGGAGGTTGCAGTGAGCCGAGATTGCACCACTGCACTCCAGCCTGGCAACAGAGCGAGACTCCGTATCAAAAAAAAAAAAAGTAGGTACTCAATAAACAACCACCGAATGAAGAGTAATCAGATAAATCACTAATAATCCTATTATTCATATAAAATGGTATATAATTTTCTAGATCATATTCTATATTTGTGTTTTTCTAACTCAATAACATATGAATAGTCTCCCATGTAAATAAGTATGTTTCATAATTCCGTATGGCTGCCTAGTATTTCATTTTATGAATGTTCAACATTTATGTGGTCAATCCTTTGTAGCTAGACATCTGGCCTTGCAGTAAGTGTCATTCTCTTAAAGGCACAAATATCCTATTGGTCAATCACCAAATCCTGCTGAGTTTTTCCTTTTGTTAGAATGTAAGTTCCACAAGAATAGGGGCCTCTTCTGTCTTTCCTGCAACCGGATCTTCAGAACCTAGCATAGTTTTGATGATCAACATAGAATGAATAAACAATGGTTCTAGTGTCTGTCTCCTTTTGATTTCTATTTCAACTACCCTGTTCCCATATGAACTATCAGCATAGCCTTCAAGCTGGTTTCCTTCCTCCAGTATGTCTAATCCCTTTTCCCAAGGCAATCATTCTTCACTGAATTTAATACCAATAATTACCTCTTTCACTATGTGATGAATTCCCTCTTTCATTATGTGATTTTCTTGTTAAGAACAACCTTAAGGACTGTTAGGATAGATTCAAAAGTCCTAATTCCAGTTTATCAAGGATCACCATAAAAGAATCACAAAATACTTTAAAACAGGAAGCCACCTTAGAGATTTTTTTAGTCTGAAAGCATCATTTCACATCACAGATAATTGAAGTAGAAGATTCAATGATTGCCAAAGACACAGACCAGTTAGTGACAGAACTCAGGTCTCTGGGCTTGCAGGCCATGGCTTGTTCCTTTCTACCATTATCAGCTGCTTCCCAGTCTACCTTGCCAGCTTCACCTCCTACCCAGATCCTCATTTCAGAGAACATGGGTTTCATACTATCCTTGAAATAAGCCTGACTCATTCTGGTTCTTGCCTTTTGCTCATGGCATTGCTGTTGCTTGCATCATCATCCTATCCCTCCTCTGTGCTCGATCAAATATTTTTCAAGATCCAATTTAAGCCCTGTCTCCTCTACAATGCCTGTCCCAGGCCACACTGAATTCTTTGTCCGCTGATCTCCAATAGCACTTGACTGCATCACTCATTCCGGCACTTAATTATATGTTGCCTTGCAATGGTAAATATTTCACAGCTGAGTGAAATACCTTGCTGCGTGTGTAGGAAGGAAAAAAAGGATGGAAATGGAAGAAAAAAAAAAAACCACCACAATGTGCTGAATCAGCCAAATACATTCTGATGCTCAAACACACCACTTAATAAGCACAACTACCCAGCCATTGCATTTTGATGTTTCCAACACCCTTATTTTAAATGTAGAAGTTAATTTGAGGCCTGTGTTTCTGTTTTGCTAATTGTAAAGCCTTCCACCTTAAGATTATTTCTTACATTGTGAGATACTGGATGGTAAAGTCTTTGAGGGGAAGAATTGTACCTTACTTATCCTAGTGATTACTACTGTGCCTTGTGCAAACATTAGACTACAAATTTTGGAACAGGTCTGATTACTTTTCTATAAGTAATTCTATAAATGCCCAATTGAGGTTTGCTATGCTATAATTACCTGACTAATATCACTGACAAATAACAAGCAATTGTTGGATAGATACAGACAATATGTGTATAACTGACTAAGCTGGAAAGAAGATGGTCAAAAATTTTACTCAATCTTGCCAGCCAACAAACAAAAACCCTCTAATATATTTAATTTATCTTATGCTAGTCACCAGTGTCTCCTTCCTTTGTATAACTCAGGAAAAAAAATGATTTTTAAGCATTTACCTAGACTTTTTTTCTTAATGTTTTCCTAAGAAGTGTGTGTGTATATGTGTGTATGAATGTGTATAATTATACATGCACACAGAGAAAAAGAGATGCGCAATTTTTTTGAGGTAAAAGAACTAAAATGAGGGGCTGGGTGTGGTGGCTCACACCTGTAATCCCAACACTTTGGGAGGCCAAAGTGGGCAGATCACTTGAGGTCAAGAGTTCAAGACCAGCCTGGCTAACATGGTGAAACCCCGTCTCTGGTAAAAATATAAAAATTAGCCGGGTGTGGTAGCAGGTGCCTGTAATCCCAACTATGACAAAAGTCATAGTTCTTGAAATCCTGGCTTCAGGCAATCCTCCTGCCTCGACTTCCCAAAGTATTGGGATTACAGGTGTGAGCCATGACACCCAACCCAAAAGCCACAGTTCTATTTGTTCTGTCGTGATGTAGAAACTGAAAATAAAAGACTACAAAGAGTAGCAAATGCTCTACTATGGGGTGACCAGTCCCTACCACATCTATATCAACTGTTCCCTGTCCCTTCCTCCAGAATTTCAGTCATGCTTGGTTGTAAGATCTGGCCTTGATTATGTATGCATATGTGAGTATCTAGACACACCTAGACTTATCGGCCATTAGGTGAGGGCAGTCCATTCATTAATCAATAAATCTGTGAATGGATCAGTTATCCAGCCCCTGATTCAGAAACACATAAACCCAAACTTGTTTAGCTATATCAATAATAAATAACAACTTTATGGCATTTGCAGTTTATTAACTTTTTTATGTGTATATCTCATTTTATAATTATTATCATTATTATTATTATTTGAGATGGAGTCTCACTCTGTCACCCAAGCTGGAGTGCAGTGACATGATCTTGGCTCACTGCAACCTCTGCTTCCCGGGTTCAAGTGATTCTCCTGCCTCAGCCTCCCGCGTAGCTTGAACTACAGGTCCATGCCACGACGCTTAGCCCATTTCTTATTTTTGATCAAGATTAATACCCAGCTTAACCCTGCTTACTTACCCAACACTTGACCCTTAATAATTTTTGCCTGTTTTTTAAAAAAATCTACCATAAAAAGCATGAAAATTAGCCACCATGTAAGACTTTCAAAGAAAAATGCAAAAATGTCTAAAGGAGATTTCAAAAAATGAATTCTCAAACTACTGTGCATATTATCAGACTGTAATTGTGAAAAGAGCTACAATTATTTGATATAAATACCGTATGACTTCTTAACTAAGTAGAATCATCTCTATTTATATATACCTCATAAATAAAAATATACATTTTGCATGTAACATAATACTTTACACATAACACTCAAGTGATACTTTTTCAATAATTTTTCATAAAGACAGAATAAGTATTACTAATTTTCCCTTTTGGCTTAGGCTCCAATATGGCTTGGCACAGCATTGTTCTTATTTCTGTCTTTGTTTAAAATTTTGATATTTTGTTCATCATGGATTTGGTTGCATTAATTTTGGTTTTCAAAAATACTATATTAAAATATCATATATCTTGATTACCAAGTTTTTTTTGTCATCCTCTTAAATTTTGTGCCTGAGAAGTCCCTCATTTGCCTCACCATAGATGCAGCCCTACCTTGGCCAACTCACTGATTCAAGGCAGATACGAGATATGTGAAAAGGAACTTGCCTGCTAAGCCTGGCCAACATCAGCCACCTTGAGTCAACTGCAGTGGTTTGTCATATAGAAAGAACCAACTGATAATTAACACTAACAATTATAGGTCTATACAAATTAAGTACTTGGAGCTAGTGGGCTCTAAGAGTTATGATTATGTTATTTGAAGTTTGCTGTGCCTATCTGGAAAAATTAATTAGAGGTTATAGTAGATTGTACTCTTCATTTCTAATATTCAGTGCTCCTCCCTATGAAAGGACTGTACTTCCTTGCACCATTGATATCAGGCTTGGCCATATGACTTGCTTTATACAATGAAATGTGAGCCAAAATAAGGTAGCTGGAATTCTAAAAGCCATCAATTGGTTCTGTTGTCACGCTTTCCTGTCTGATTTCAGAAGACTAGTATATCCCAGATGGAGCCACTCCTTTAGTGTAGTCCCAGATGACAAAGACATGGAGCAGAGCTGAGGCCTACCCTAATGGGTATGTAACATGAGCACGACTGTATCTTATTGTTGTCAGCCATGAAGATCTGAGAGTTGTTTATTGTGACAAAATAACTTAATGAAAGGTAATGGGACCAGAGGAGTAACTATTGGGAAGAAAAAGGTAAGCCTACCATTATTCAAAGATGATATGATTGTATATTTGGGAAAACTCAATAATTGACTAAAAATTCCAAAAAGCAAAAACATTCAATCAGATAATGGAATAAAAAATTAATATCTCCAAATGGCCAGGCATGGTGGCTCATGCCTGTAATCCTAGCACCCTGGGAGGCCGAGGTGGGGAGATTACTTGAGCTCAGGAGTTCGAGACCAGCCTGGCCAATATGGCGAAACCTGTCTCTACTAAAAATACAAAAATTAGCCAGGTGTGGTGGCACACACCTGTAGTGCCAGCTACCTTGGTGGCTGGGGCAGGAGAATTGCTTGAGCCTGGGAGGCAAAGGTTGCCATGACCCAAGATCATGCCACCACACTCAAGCCTGGACAACAGGGCAAGACCCTATATCAAAAAACAAACAAAACAAACAACAAAAAAATTAATACCTGAAAATCAATAGTAATAAAATATACAAATAACAAGCTCTTTTTAGCTATAACTGAAGGTTCCATTAACAATATAGCAATAACAAAGATAAAATACCTTAGAATAAACTTAAGAGAAATGTGGAAGACCTAAATGAAGAAAACTTTAAAGTACTATGGAATAATTTTTTAAGAAGAAAAATTGAATAATAAAATATATTATTGGATAGGAAAACTCCATATCCTCAAAATAGCAACCTCACTAAGCTATTTTATCAATGTATGTGTATACTTATAAAATAATTAATATATCAATATAATGCATTAATATATGTTAATATAAATAATAACAAACTTGCCTTTTTATGGGGGGAAGGGTTGAAAGGTAGGATGGGAAAGAGTTGGATTCTAACAAAAAAATGGACAATAGGAATAGTCAGACAAAACTGAAAAAAGGGCAATAAGGGCAACCTAGTCTAGCAAATATTAAAATATATTGTAAAGTCTCAGTAATTAAAACTATGTGATTGAGACAAGAATGCAGACAGATAATTGGGAAGAATAAGTCAAAAAATAAACCCAAATATATATACATGAGTATTTGGGCATGTGATAAAGGGGGCATCTCAAATCAGTGAAGAGTAACAACTAGATAAATATCTGACAAAAAGTAAGTTGGATCCATTATACATCTTGATAAATCCCAAATGTATCAAAGATTCAAAAGGGGATCAAAATGTAAAAATTACTAGAAAAAAAAACCCTGTAAGTTACATATAACCCTGTAGTGAAGAAAGACTTCTGAATTCAAAATCCAGGGCCATTAAAAGAAAGATAAATTTGACTACAGTAGAAAAAGAAAAGGAATGCATAGTAATGAAAAAAGATGCCATAAGTAAAGTCAAAAGACAAATGAAAAACTGGTAGAAAAAATATTGCAGCTTATACCACACAGCTTATCCCCATAATAAATACAGAGCTCCTATAAGTCAAAAAAGAAAAGACCAACAACACAACTGAAAAATAGGGAAAGGATATGAGCACAGTTCATAGAACAAGTAACACAAATGATCGTTAAACATATGAAAAGATGCTCACTTTTCTCACAGTAAAAGAAATATAATTTTAAGCTACACTAAAATATCATTTTCAGACACAGAGCAAAAAAAAATTTCATAACACAATCTATGGGGAAAGGCACATGAAATAGGCACTATTAAGTATTCCTGGTTGGACGGTAAATTAGTGCAACCACTGTGGAAAGCAGTTTGGCCATTTCTATTAAATTCCAAATGCATATACTATATATATTGACTAGCAATTCTACTTCTGAGAATTTATGTATGCAATATGTTTACATTTTTTGTGAAATGACTTATGTTCAAGCTTATTTATTGCAATACAGTTTGTAATATCCAAAGATTGGAAACAGACTAAATGTTCATCAGTATGGTACATTTATTCAGTAGAGCACTACACAACTATAAGAATGAGGATAATAAGAAGACTTTATATTCTGACGCAGAAAGATCTTCATGGTGTATAAAGTTTAAAAAGCAAGGTGCAGAACAGTATGTATAGGATAAAACAGGAGGAAAACTAAGAATATATATTCACATTTGCTTATAAATGCATATACAAATTCTAGAAGAATATGCAAGAAGAGAAGAATGAGTACCTACAAAGTTGGGTTACAAAAGGGAGAAACTGTTAGAAAGGCCAGCTCTCTGCATTGGAGTATAAAAGGTGGCGTTTTCACTGTATATCTTTTCATATTTTTAAATTTTTGGCTCTGTAAATGTATTTCATATTCACAAATATAAGACAGACAGCAACAAAAACTCTAAACCAGTTTGCCGTGGGTAATTTAAAGCTAAAGGGCAGTGGTCCAATTAAACTGTCTTCAATAAAAGCTGCTCTTGATGGACACTTGTGTTATAATCAGTAATCCATGGAGAGCAGTCACTCTTTACCACCAGTCTCCTTTGAGGAATATTTATCTCATTTCTCCATCTAAAATATCTCCTTTCATTTAAGAAATAAAACAGCTTATCCAAGCACTTCAGTTCAATAATTTCACCATTAAGAGCACTTCTGTTACTATTCTTCTAAGCACTTTTAAAAAGCTAAAAACTTCAATTGAACAGACTGTTCATTATAACATAAAATACAATTTATACATTGATTGAAATGGCTTGATGAGGACCTTAACAATCTTTTGCTTTGAATGAGGAGCTTCAGTATGAGGAAGGAAAAGGCCCACTCAAAATGATAATGCAATGCTGAAAATAGTACTATTAGTTAAACGATCCAGTAATAAGGCATATTTGCTTCATTATACTGGGCGCTTATCATTTTCTAAAACAGAAGTAATAGGATACTGTCATTAAGTCAGAGTACAGCCTAGGAGAGCCAATGTGATAAAATATTGAAGACATAGGTTTACTGCAAGAGCTGCATCTACATGCACAGAGTTAAAGGGGAGGTTGAAGGACAAATAAAGGAAAGAAAGAAGGGCAGTCTGATGGAAGAAATATCACTCCAGAGAGTGAAGACCTCGCATCTACTTACATTTTCTCATTAACAAGAGTGTCAGTTAATCTGCCTGGGCATCAATTTCCTGATCTGTAAAATATGGTAATAATAATACCTTATGCTGTGGTAAAGACTCTACTCTGTACTCGCCAAACCTATTTTTTTTTCCTCCTGGGCACACAGCTAAATGACATTTTCCAGGTGCCCTGGGCAGTTAGTTAGATCAGGTCATATGGACTAAATACTGGCCAATGGAACGTGGGTAGAAGTGATATACTTTGGTGCCAGGTTGAATCCTTAAAACTTCCTTTGAGATATTTTATGTACTCTCTTTTCCTTGTCTGCTGACTGGATTCTGAAGATCGAGGATTCTGAGGTCCTAGAAAAATGAACCTCTAGATCTGTACTGTCCAATGTGGTAGCACTTGAAATGTTTTTGCTAGTCCAAATTGAGATGTATTCTAAGTATAAGATACACACTGGATTTCAAAAACTTTGTGTGCAAAAAAGAATTTGAAATTGTTTATTAATAATTTTATATTAATTACATGTTAAAACAATATTTTGGACAAATTGGGTTAAATAAGAGATATTAAAATTTATTGTGTTTTTACTTTCTTGATTTAGAAAATTTAAAAATCGCAAGTATGATTCATTTGTGGCTTCTACTGTATTTTTATTGGACAGGGTTGCTTAGGAGGGAAGGAACCTCAGTCCTTGAATAACTGATAGAGCAGAGCTTTCCAAATACTTTGGTGTGCCACAGGCTAGAATGCACTTGCAATGGGAAACTTCAGGGCTTGACCTTTGTTCTTTAAGAGTCCATTTGAAGGTTCCCTGTATACATACCTGCCCCAGTTAAGGTAAAGGAAAAAGGAACTTGTTTATACCAAGTCAGGATAAAGGGAATGGGGGAAGGTATCTTATGATATGGTGGTGACTATGACCATCATACCTGTAGACACTAGAAACATCTGGCATAACTAGCAAAGAAAAAGAGAAAAGGTTGGGAGACACAAAGATCAGTCAAGAATACACAGCCCTTTTGATACAGACTTTTCCCCATATATGGTAATTAAGACTAAAGTACAGAACTTCTCAGGGAAGCTTCTGTACTCAAATCTTCACCATTCTAAGTAGTATTAGCACCTACACTGGCAACACCATACCAATTCTGGGTAGATATGCTGCATGAACACAACTTCAACCATTGGCACCTATGCATCCCATATAGTAAGTGTGCCCTCCTTCCAACCAGGGACTCTGGGGAAGTATGCTCAGCGTCACAGAGTGACAGAAGTATAGGAAGTGATCATTGGTTCACTATTGTATTATCCCTCTGTCCTTGTAATAAGAATCACATTCAGACATAATGCAATATTCATTTTAAGCTAGATGTCAATAAATAATCTTATCAAGTAAATACTTCATGGCAATCTGCCAAATGAACAGGTCATGGGTTATGTGTGGGTAACTACTTCTCTACAAAGCACATTCAAGTATTTTGTTAGCAAGATCATTGCTTAAAATAATCTGTTTATATTTCCTGCTGATAACTTCATGGATCATGCTGATGAAACATGTTAAGTGAGTTTTCCTTCCCTCTTCTCGTCTCTCTTTTCTTGAAAGTAAAGACCTAGTCTAACTGGATAAAGTACAAAGATCCTGGAAAAAAGAATCAAAATCTGAGTTTTGGGTGTTTCTTAGACATATCAATTACAATTAGATTTTTATAGATAAGAGCTAAATATAGATATATTGTTTTGGTACATACAAATACAAATTCTTACTGCAAAGCTTTAGTTTTTTTAATCAGGTACATATGTACATATTTAACAAGTTCTATTCCTAATAATAGGTCTTTGGTATGAATGAGTATTCATCAACTAAAATTGTCAGAGTTTTAGGTTAAAAACCATGTAACAAACTAATACTGTGTCTAATCTCGCTCTCTTTTTAAGTGATTAATGATTGAAAAATTAAACATGTAAAATATATATTAATAATATTCAGTATCATTTTTAGTTTTATAATACATACCAATGATAAGATTAATAAATATTATGTAAATATCTCAACCATCATGTAATATATTAATAGTGATATTTAATATTATTATTACAGTGTCAAAAATGTTATCCAAGTTCTATTCTGAGCAACAATAACACTGCTTTGTATTATCTACCATATTTATCTTCTAAACAGTGTAAATTATAATACAGAAAGATCTGTCTACATAAGACTAAAATCAAACATCATCCAAAACTGAAGGAGGGAGCAGAACAACTTTCCTAATTGTATAAAAAATGACAGCCCAGGCTGGGCACAGTAGCTCATGCTTATTATCCCAGAACTTTGGGAGGCTTAAAAATTAAAATTCCTTCTTCCACTCTTTCTCTCTTTTTTTTTTTTTTTTTTTGCTGTTACACTTATTTTTTATCATGTGTTTTAAGTTTTTGTGTTGTGAAATATAGCTTGATAAAAGTTGATAAATCATAACAAATAATCATAAGGTGAACACATGTGTAACCACTACTCTGATAAAGAAATTGAACATTGCTAACAGCCAAGATGCTTCACTTTCTTCAGGTAATACCCAGTTCATGAAAGGGCTGAACAACAGCTCCAATTTTTTCCTATATCCTCCATGGTACCAGGGGCAAATATTCATTCATTTATTTGTTCAACAAATATTTACTGAGTGCCAACAATGTGTGAGTACTCCACTAGGTAGTATGTGCTACATAGAGTATGGAAAGCAAAGGAAGGGTTCCAGTAAAACCCCAGACATGGACCAAAAAAAAAAAATTATTGAAGGTATGCTGATTACAAGGTAAGTGAAGTTTCTCAATGAATGGAACAAAGTATAGATTACAAATTAATTGCTACCTTTTTGGACATATGTAAATGAAGTTAAATTGTTTTTGGCTCTTACACCTTGAGAGATCTTGTGAGGCCAAGGGATGTCCTCTTACACCCTCCCGCCCACTTACCCCTCTGCCACATGATATCTTGAGTGCACCAGAACTGGGAATAGTTCTCGCTCCCTGACTACAGTAGTTTCTTAAGGGCAAGACCAAGTAGTGTTGCTCATCCTCGAATTCCCAATGGCTGACCTACAGGAAAGCCTCAATTAAAAAAAGCAAACAAACTGGTGGATTAATGAACAAATATTTGCTACATAAAATAGTCAATATCTAAAATAAAAGTTTTAAGGCCAATATCTAAAATAAGTTCTGTTGTGGAATTTTCCCTTAATATAAAGAAGTCATGCCTTAAGATGTTGATATACATATTGATATATTTGATTACTAAATAGTGCTTAGAATTCTAAGTGTTAAAGATTATTTTAATTTTTAAGGTATCTATAGAAGCTAGAGTTTCATATGAATGACTGGAAAAAAATGGCTCCTGCACCTAACTCAGGAGACATTAATTGTTATATATTCAGGACTGATATTCAGCCAGCATGCACCAGTGAAGCCATACCTTTTATATCTGGCACTCATTCTAATTGGCCAGTGCTCATTTCATGCTAAATGTTAAGTATATGAAAATCTTGCATTATGTGGGCTGTAAAATGACAGTCACATGACAATGGAGGAGGAAGGACTATAAAAGCCATAACATTGTAGAAATGGAATTGTAGAAGGACGACTGAAAACTATCAGTGAATTCTACTTATACCTTGATTAATCGAATAAGTATTTTAATAAATTAGTTTCACAGTTTTTACATAAATACCTTAGATTGAAACTCCCTAAAAAAGAAAAGACTTTCAAAGAAAGCTGAAATGGCTATATTGACATGAGAAAAAGTAAATTTCAGAGCAAAGACTATAACCAAGGATAAAAAGGATCATTTTATAATGATAAAGGGATGAGTTCATCAAGGAGCACAACAATCCTAAATGTTAATTCACCTAATGAGACAGCTTCAAAATACATATAGCAAAAACTGAAAGAACTTCAAGGAGAAACAGACAAATTCACAATTTTAATTGGAGATTTTAATGCCCCTCTTTCAAAAATTGATTGGAAAAAAATATATATATATATAAAATCACTAAGGGCATAGAGAGAAGATGTGAACAACACTAGCAACCAACTTGACCTAGTGCCATTTTAGGTAAATTAGGAGAGTCAACCAAAACAGTAGAATACTTTCTTTTCTACTAAAACAGTAGAATACATTCTTTTCAAGTGTCTATGGAACATTTCCCAAGATAGACTATGATCATAAAATGAGTCTCAATAAATTTTAAAAGATTCAACTTATAAAAAGTATGTTCTCTGACCACAACTGAATTATAGAAAGACTTTTGGAAAATCCCCAAATACTTAGAAAAGAAATAATGCACTTCTAAATACTCCATGAGTCAAGAAAGTCAAAATGTAAATGAGAAAGCATTTTAAATGAATGAAAACAAACATACAACATGAGATTCTCACTAAAAGCAGGACTTAGGAGATAATTTATAGCACCAAACACCTATATAAACATGAGGAAAGGTTTCAAATCAATGACTTCAGATTTCACTCTAGAAAAGGAAAAAGAACACTAAGATACTATGCATAGAGAGACCCTAACACTGTGACACACATTCGATTACTGGCAAGCTATCCAGAGGATGAACTTTCTCAAAGATAACCCCCAAATCCTGCTAAATATCAACTCCCAGCCATTGAGGATGTATGCCCACGGTCTCCGGATCTCAAAAACACCGTAGGCAGCACTTGGCAGAAACATAAGTTCTTTTTAAGAGACCAAACAAAGAAGTTAAGAATTAAAAGAAGGACATAACACATGCATACTGGATTTATTCACAGGAAGTAACTCTGGATGATCTACTTTTTAACTAGACAGCTCTCATACTTCAATTATAAGAATATATTTGGTTCATACGACTACTGTTGGGCACTTAAGGCTAACCTTTCATTAATATGAGTTAATGTTCATTAAATAACTAGGTTGAGCCATACAAAATTGCCATTTTTATAGGTCAAAAATTGTCAAATATTGGCAATTTCATATGGTTCAAGCTAATAATTCCTGAGGCTGCAATACATTAACAATATGTTAGATGGGTAATAATACTGCAGCTTTTCAAGTATATTAGTGACATTAATATACAAACAGTAGGAAAATATTCTTTTCAACTTTTTTTTTTTAATCTCAAGTCTCAGACCATGACCCTTCTCTCCAGAAAATCTTTCTCCACCGAAGGCACAATTTAACATCCAATATATCAATAGGCCACTCCCAAATCCCCTTAGACATCCTTCTAAGGACCCCCAAGGGCTTCATGTGATCATATAATATACATATATATACACATGTACATATACATGTACATCTGTGTGTATACTTCAAGATCATAAAAATGCAGTTTTTGTTCCTGAGAAACTTATCCAAAGTTATGCACCATCAGTGAATCTCAATTTAAGAACCTGACATGCAAAAAAGAACCATCAAAGCATAAATTTAGTTGTAACTCTCTATTCATTTTATACATAGATTCCTTAAAAGTGATCAGCTTTCCAAGTATGTGTTAAGTCATTCTAATTACAAAACCTGATTTACATGTTTTAGGAATATGTCTGTCATGTGACATGAGGTATAAGTTTGAATAAATGCTGGATTAAATAACCTAATCAGGTAGAAGTCCCAAAGCATCATTTACAGCATTCACATACTTATTATACAGCATTTGTATACTTACTTTATGTGCCAGATACTTGAAGCCAAAACTAAATTTGATACTTTATAATACAGGTCAACATTGGGGTAAGAAGAACAACAATATTGCAGCAATTTATGTTACTTACACTGATACGGGCACAAACAGTAGTTTAACTGAGTTTATTTGGAAAAGAGTAGTGTTGATTTTCATCTTACTCTTCAAATAAAACCCAGACCCTATTAAGCAGTTTAAAAAAATAAGAAAACCATATGTTCTGGAATATACTAACAGGCTTAACATTTTCTCCCACTGTTTCCCACAAACACAAAAGCCTGCCTTTTGGAACAAGAATAAGGAAAATAAAACAGAAAAGAGGAAGGTAAATTTTAAAGATGCATTTTACCACGCGCCAGATAAGTCGCACTTTGTGTGAATGCTCTCAGCCTCCCTTATGTCCTAGAATTTAAGTGAACTTGGGTAACAACAATACGAAGACGTTCATTTGGCATACTGTCTAGTTAGGGAGTGAAGCAGTGTCCACTAACATAAACGTGCTATGTGCAGGAGAGAGGCTTGAGATTCTCATGCCCAACTCTGAAACTGAACAGTTTAATGACTTCTGTCAGTCTTATAAGGAATGCCAGATAAACAACAGCCTACCTGAACTGCACAGCAAGAGGTCCAAAATGTGGTGTGGTCCTAAACAGGCTGCTGTCACTTCATGTCCCTCAGCCAAGCCATTCGCTTCTGTCAGCTACTCCACCACCAACCAACAGGTTGAAAGCAGAGCAGAGAAAGCCCAGATCTTGTAACTCAAGTCGATTTGGTTTTTCATCAGCTGTCTCTAGTTAACCAGCTTTACAAACAGAATCTAAAACATAACATATGACTTTCTTTCCATACCTGAACACTTAAGGTCTAACTGCCTAGACACTTGTTATGAACTGTAACTATAGCAAGGTTTCAAATCCTCAGTCACTCAGCTCCCAGACTGCTAAGTGGAATTTCATTCCACATGTGCCCCCACAATTAACAGGGTTATTTTAGGCACTGACCTAAGTTCTCAGAGAATGTAAGCTGATGGCAAAGGGGTGTCTAATGTGTCAGTTGCTTGGTTACAATAGAAAGCTCACATGTAAAGCTTACAATCTGTGTGCAGTGCTTCCTCAACACCCCACAACATGGGGTGTAGTTTACTTTAGCTGACGGGAAACACTGAAGTTATACACCTATCTTTAAAAACCCACAGAGAGCTTAGACCCATCACTAATAAACATAGAACTATGACAGTTTTGTTAGAGATGTGGATTGTTAGGGAGCATAGAATTCAAGAGAGGCATGCAAGTGACTTGGACAGCTGTTTTACGGAGCAATTTCAGATTCCGACTGCAGTATCCAGTCACATAGTGCATCATTCCCCAGGAAGTCCCAGTGAAAGTAAACTAACTGCCCAGAATCCTATAAAGAATACTCATTCCCTTCATAGAGAAAACTATAAATACAAGAATACTCTAAGCATTTTTCATAATTATGAAACTTAGTTCTCCTTTACAATGTGACACATAGCTACTAAAGCATGCTACCTCTAATAAAGTACTCCACTGACTGGCTAATATGACTGTTTTGCAGAAAAGAAAAGAAATTAGCAAAAAAATAAACAGTGGAAGGAAAACGCATAGTGCCTCCTTACGATGTGAGTTCCTCCATGCCAGCACTGAGCATTCTGAATCCCAGAAGTAACACAGGATAAATTCACAAATCTTCCAACTTCATCATCAACACCCTACTCATGGTTTCCACAAAAGTCAGAACTCCAGGACAGAGTCTGGATTTCCAGGAAGGGGTGGGCATAGCTAGATATAGGGAAGAATTTCCTGGGTTGGAGATTTGCTGAGAACTACTTGTAGAAAGAATGACTCAAATCTCATTATGAGAGAAGTTGAAATAAAAGGGTAAATTAATCTGTCGTGAATGGATAGCCATGGTCTCCCAAAAGAGAGAACACCAAAGTGGATAAAGTCTGAAAGTCCCTTCTCTTTCCTTGGCTACCACTCTCTCAAACTTCCTGACAGTCAGTTCAATGGCCACCTCCTCTAGAAGCCTCGTGACTCTCCTTGCCTGGCTTAATGACCCCTCCTCAGTGCTCCCAGGCTTTGCCTCTGCCTGACATCTTAATGTTCTCTTTACCTCCCTCACTCCCCAACTAAGAAAACCATAGTTGGCAGTCGCTATGTCAGGGTCATCTCTGCAGAGCTGGTTTAGAACAGCACTGGGCCCTTAACAAATGTCAGTGAATGTTTGCTAAATGAATGAATTCTGGAATATTATAGAATCAATGGAGCACACATAGCTTGCTTCTGGGTTCAGCAAGCTACCCCCAACCAACTCCCAGTCTCCTGAGATATTGTTAGTTCAGAGTGACCAGCAGCCCTGAGGTGACATAATGGATGTCATGTAGGCTTCATTATAAAATACATTATAAAACTCAATGAATATTTGATGAAAGAACAAACAAATGATCCAATCGCATATCAAATCTTTTTAGTGTGCCTTAGGCCGGGTGCGGTAGCTCACACCTGTAATCCAAGCACTTTGGGAGGCTGAAGCAGGAGGATCACTTGAGCCCTGGAGTACAAAACCACCCTAAGCAATATAGTGAAACCCCATCTCTACAAAAGAATTAAAATAAAAAATTAGCCAGGTGTAGTGGTACAAGCCTGTTCCCAGCTACTTGGGAGGCTGAGGTGGGAGGACTGCCCAAGCCCTGGAAGTCAAGGCTGCAGTGCACCGTGATCGCACCAGTATACTCCAGCCTGGGTGACAGAGAGAGACCCTGTCTCAAAAAACAAACAAACAAACAAACAAAGAGTGTGCCTTAGAGCCCATTCTCAGCCTCAGTCTTAAGCCAGGTTTGCTCCAGTCACTTCTGACGATAAATTAGAATCTACCTTCCTCAGGCCAAAAGCCTTTCAAACATAGTTCCTTCTCTGACAAACAGTTACCCTTTTTCTCCAGCACCCCAGTTCCGACTTTCCACAGGCTGAGGTTCTTCCATTTGTGATAATAATACAGAAAGGCAAGACACATCCCATAGTCAAAGCAAATTCACAATGTAGATTAATCACAGATTATAATGGTGGCATTTCATTTTTATGGTTTTCATAAACACCAGTTTGACATAAACTGGTGGCACTTTAACCTTTAAATTATTTGAATATCCTTTAAGAATAAGAAAAAGGCATATTTTCTAATAGGAGTGGCAAAAGTATTTGGACCACTGGAATATCTCTTAGGAGTTATTTTTTTCATCACTAGATTTTATCTATATTAGATAGCACAGCCCATGGAGAATTTTTTTTAAGAGAGAGAAAGATAATCCCAGTTCTGTGGTCAGTTATATCCTGGCAGGGAAAAAAAAGGAACATGTACTTCACAGGGATCTATTTTTAATTCTCATTTAAATAGCTGTCAGCTCTTGCCAGCACAAAAGAAGAAAGATGACAAAATGAAGACAAGATTTTCTGACTAGAACCAAGTATTAACATCAGTCTGGAAAGCTATGCTTATTTGAAACATATTCCTAAGAGAACTTAAGAAAAATACAAACATAATTTTCCATAAATCTGCCACACACTGAAAGTTATGTGAGGTATATATATATATATGCATGTATCCAAATGCCTCTCTCTCTCTCTCTCTCTCTCTCTCTATATATATATATATATATTACAATGTAGTTTGAGAAGCACAGTGATATCTACAGAGTGTGTCAAGAGAACAGGAAAAAGAGGAGGGACACCTAACCCAGAAAAAGAGAGAGAAGGCAATTAGAGGAGGTGAGGCAAAGCTGAGTTCTAAAGGCCAAGTAAGAGAGAGCCAGACATGGGCAATGGGAGAAAGCATGCAAGGAGGAAGGGGCATCACATGAGATGTAGAAGGATAGTATGAGGTATTTTTGTTGAGGGGGCTGAGAATAACAGAGAAGAGCTTAGTTTGCAAGGGTGGGAATGAGCAGAGAGTCAAGAGATGTAACTGGATAATAAGATAACCCTCACACTTCAGGCTAGTACAGAGGAAGGGATTTCTAGGATCACAGGTTGCATGTATCTTAATCTTGAGGGACTTCTACAGGCCTTTTAATGGTGGAGAACGTCAATTAAAATGATTTAGTTAAATCGGGATTTAGTTTCCCACTTGAGTCATGAATCACTGCAGATAAAATCAATTGTTGCTACATAAAAATTACATAGTTGATGTCTGAGATTATTCTACATAAAATTTGTACAACCTAATATGGATGTTGGTATAAACATAAGATTAATTTTTAAAAGCAAACAATATATTTTAAGGCAATGATTCAGAATCACAAAGTCACTGGAGTTGGAAATATTCTGGTTCAATTTCCTCTTCTTGTAAAGGAGGAAATCAAGGTCCAGAGAGGTTGTCATGTGCTCCAGTCATATGCTGGAAAGGGGTAGTCCCTGAACAAGGACAGAAGTTTCTGAGTATCCCACATCACACATTGCCTGCCTTCAGTATCTGCCACAGGGAGGACAGCCACATAACATATGTAATTTCATTCTATGGGTTATAGAGAGCCACTTTTGGATTTTAAGCACAGTACCAAAAGTTTGAGCGAGATTTGTATTTAGAGAGATCTTTCCTTGTTTTGATAGAGGAATGACAGTAGAGGTCTTTTCAATAACTCAGACAAATTATAACAGTTAGACCTAAGCAAAGGCAGTGGAGATGGAAAGGAGTGAACAAATTATATAAACATTGGGAGATAAAATAGACGTAATTTGGTAACCAGTTGGACATTGTGGGAGAAGATGCATAGAAGTTAGGATAAATAACTCTTCATTTCTTGGCATGGGTAATTGATTAAACCAGGAGGAAGCATCTGGTGGGATACATATGAAGCAATTAGGGAGAAGGGAGATTCTGCCCAGCTTTTGAGATGATCAGAATTAATCTGAGATTGGTGGGGTGACAGATGCCACAGCCAGATCACCTCAGCAACCCTTAGGATATTAAATGTCTTTTCTGGTATTTGAGGTAGCTTGTGCTACCTTTGTTCCTCCCAGAGGCATCGACATAAAATTATCATCACTATTCACTGATAATACTATTTGCACTTTGACTGAATCTTAAATTGCCAATTTATATTATTTCTTGATATTTCCTTCTGATTATAGCAGACTAGCCTATGTAGACCAACTACCTCACTGAGAACAACCAAACAAGCTAGACAAATAAGAATCAGTTCTGAAGATATAGTATAAATATTCTCATAGAGAATGCAAATTTACAGAAGTAAGACATTTGGCACCATTTTCCCCCTCAAGGTCTTTGCAGATGTATAAGCCGAATCTAGAGCTTAAGAAGCTAAACTGAACTTCTAGCCATTTTCAGTGCTGCAGGGACAAAAACTGGAGCTCAGAACCCACTAAGGAGGAGAGGCCCTGGTAAAAATTTAGGCTTTCAGAAGGACCTCTAAAGGACCACTTCAGAGGAGTAAAGGTAAAGGTAAACTAGAAGTAGACCAGTCCTCGTAAGATGAATTTGGCTATAAACTATGAATATAACATAAAAGTTATATATCCACGTTGGATTGATTCATTCCAGGAAAGTAAGGTCTGTTTCATGTTTGAAAGAAATTTTTAAAAATTATATGGTGATCTGAATATATTAATTTTTAAAAAGTGTTTTATAAAAAGGCAACATTCACGGACAAACCTCATAAACATGTTGAGCAAAAGACAGCAATGTCAGGCCTCTGAGCCCGAGCTAAGCCATCATATCCTCTGTGACCTGCACATATACATCCAGATGGCCTGAAGCAACTGAAGATCCACAAAAGAAGTGAAAATAGCCTTAACTGATGACATTCCACCATTGTGATTTGTTCTGCCCTATCCTAACTGATCAATGTACTTTGTTACCTCCCTCACCCTTAAGAAGGTTCTTTGTAATCTCCCCCACCCTTAAGAAGGTTCTCTGTAACTCTCCCCACCCTTGAGAATGTACTTTGTGAGATCCACCCCCTGTCCGAAAAACATTGCTCCTAACTCCACTGCCTATCCCAAAACCTATAAGAACTAATGATAATCCCACCACCCTTTTGCTGACTCTCTTTTCAGACTTAGCCCGCCTGCACCCAGGTGAAATAAACAGCCATGTTGCTCACACAAAGCCTGTTTGGTGGTCTCTTCACACGGACACGTGAGACACAAAAGAATATATGTGGCATGACTATATTTATTTGAAGCACCAGATCAGGCAAACTATATTATTTAGAGATGCCTACATGGGCATTAAGACTGTAAAGCAAGGAAATGATGATCACTAAGTCAAAAAGTATATTACTTAGGAAGGGCCACAGGGTATTCCACGTACTCTTCTCTGATCAAGAGTTTCTATTTTCCTTTCTCTGGCAAAGTTCTATTTTTGTTTTTTAATCTAGGTAATTACAGGTCAGGTGCTTTCTGTAAAGTTTTTTTAATTAAAAACATTGCATATACACATATGTAGCAATTTAAAAACAAGAGAAAGGGGCTGGGCATGGTGGTGCATGCCTGTAATCCCAGCACTTTGAGAGACTGATTGGAAGAATTGCTTGAGGCCAGGAGTTCGAGACCAGCCTAGGCAACATAGAGAGACATCATCTCTATAAAAAATTTTAAAAATTAGCTAGACGTGGTGGCATCTGCCTGGAGTCCTAGCTACTTGGGAGGCTGAGGCAGGAAGATCGCTTGAGCCCAGGAGTTTGAGACTGTAGTGAGCTATGATCACACTACTGTACACAGCCTGGGCGACAGAGTGAGATTGCAGCTCTAAAAATTAATCAGTCAATCAATCATGAAAAAGGGAATACATATTGTTGGGAATAAAGGAAGACCTGAATAGTAAAATATACTATGTTCTAAATATAGAGACTCAACACTATGGAAATGTCAAGTCTACCTAAATTCATCTCTAAATGTAACATCATCCTAATGAAAACACCAAAAATATTTTATTTGATACTAGACAAGCTGATTACAAAATTTTAATGGAAAAATAAGCTATAAAGACATAAAACCAGGGGATTACCGGGAAAGATGGCCGAATAGGAACAGCTCCAGTCTGTAGTGCCCAGCAAGACCAACGCAGAAGGCGGGTGATTTCTGCATTTCCAACTGAGATACCTACCTCATTTCGTTGGGACTGGTTAGACAGTGGGTGTAGCCCACCAAGGGGAGCAGAAGCAGGGTGGGGTGTCGCCTCACCTGGGAAGCACAAGGGGTCAGGAAACTCCCTCCCCTAGGGCCACGAGTGAAGGACCGTGCTATCTGGTCCAGATACTATGCTTTTCCCACTGTCTTTGCAACCTGCAGACCAGGAGATTCCCTCCAGTGCCTACACCACCCGGGCCCTGAGTTTCAAGCAGAAAACTGGGCGGCCATTTGAGCAGATACCTAGCTAGCTGCAGGAGTTTCTTTTCATATCCCAGTGGTGCCTGGAACCCCAGTGAGACAGAACTGTTCGGTCCCCTGGAAAGGGGGCTGAAGCCAGGGAGCCAAGTGATCTTGCTCAGCAAATCCCACACCCATGGAGCCCAGCAAACTAAGATCCACTGGCTTGAAATTCTCTCTGCCAGCACAGCAGTCTGAAATCCACCTGGACAATGCTCCAGCTTGGTGGGGGTAGGGGCGTCCACCATTACTGAGGCTTGAGTAGGCAGTTTTCCCCTCACAGTGTAAACAAAGCCACCAGGAAGTTTGGACTGGGTGGAGGCCACCACAGCTCTCAAAAGCTGCTGTGGCCAGACTGCCTCTCTAGATTCCTCCTCTCCGGGCAGGGCATCTCTAAAAGAAAGGCAGCAGCCCCAGTCAGGGGCTTATAGATAAAACCCCCACCTCCCTGGGACAGAGCACCTGGGGGAAGGGGTAGCTGTGGGCGCAGCTTTAGCAGACTTAAATTTGCCTGCCTGCCAGCTATGAAGAGACCAGCGGATCTCCCAACACAGCACTCAAGCTCTGATAAGGGACAGACTGCCTCCTCAAGTGGGTCCCTGACCCCAAGGAGATACCTCCCAGCAGGGGTCGAGAGACACCTCATACAGGAGAGCTCCAGCTGGCATCTGGTGGGTGCCCCTCTGGGACGAAGCTTCCAGAGGAAGGAGCAGGCAGCAATCTTTGCTGTTCCTCAGCCTCCGCTGGTGATAGGCAAACAGGGTCTCGAGTGGACCTCCAGCAAACTCCAGCAGACCTGCAGAAGAGGGGCCTGACTATTAGAAGGAAAACTAACAAACAGAAAGCAATAGCATCAACATCAACTAAAAGGATGACCACACAGAAACCCCATCCGAAGTTCACTAACATCAAAGACCAAAGGTAGATAAATCCATGAAGATGAGGAAAAACCAGTGCAAAAAGGCTGAAAATTCCAAAAACCAGAATGTCTCTCTCCTCCAAAGGATCACAACTCCTCGCCAGCAAGGGCAAAAAACTGGACAGAGAATGAGATTGACAAATTGACAGAAGTAGGCTTCAGAAGGTGGGTAATGACAAACTCCTCTGAGCTAAAGGAGCAGGTTCTAACCCAATGCAAGAAAGCTAAGAACTTTGATAAAAGCTTACAGGAACTGCTAACTAGAATAACCAATTTAGAGAAAAACATAAATGACCTGATGGAGCTGAAACTATTCCAAACAATAGAAAAAGAGGGACTCCTCCATACCTCATTTTATGAGGCCAGCATCATCCTGATACCAAAACCTGGCACAGACAACAACAAAAAAAGAAAATTTCAGGCCAATATCTTTGATGAACATTGATGTGAAAATCTTCAATAAAATACTGACAAATCAAATCCAGCAGTACATTAAAACACTTATCCACCATGATCAAGTCAGCTTTATCACTGGGATGCAAAGCTGGTTCAACATACACAAATCAATAAATGTCATCCATCACATAAACAGAACCAATGACAAAAACCACATGATTATCTCAACAGAGGCAGAAAAGGCCTGGGATAAAATTCAACACCACTTCATGCTAAAAACACTCAATAAACTAGGTATTGATGGAGCATTTCTCACAATAATAAGAACTATTTATGATGAACCCACAGCCAATATCATACCGAATGGGCAAAAGCTGGAAGCATTCCCTTTGAAAACCAGCACAAGACGAGGATGCCCTCTCTCATCACTCCTATTCAACATAGCGTTGGAAGTTCTGGCCAGGGCAATCAGGCAAGAGAAAGAAATAAAGAGTATTCACATAGGAAGAGAGGAAGTCAAATTATCTCTGTTTACAGATGACATGTTTGTATATTTAGAAAACCCCATCATCTCAGCCCAAAACCTCCTTAAGCTGATAAGTAACTTCAGCAAAGTCTCAGGATACAAAATCAATGTGCAAAAATTACAAGCATTCCTATACAACAACAACAGACAAACAGAGAGTCAAATCATGAGTGAACTCCCATTCACAATTGCTACAAAGAGAATAAAATACCTAGAAATAAAACTTACAAGGGATGTGAAGGATCTCTTCAAGGAGAACTACAAACCACTGCTCAAGGAAATAAGATACAACACAAACAAATGGAAAAACATTCCATGCTCTTGGATAGGAAAAATCAATGTTGTGAAAATAGCCATAATGCCCAAATTAATTTAAAGATTCAATGCTATTCCCATCAAGCTACCATCGTCTTTCTTTGCAGAATTAGAAAAAACTACTTTAAATTTAATATGGAACCAAAAAAGAGCCCATATAGCCAAGACAATCCTAAGCAAAAAGAACAAAGCTGGAGGCATCATACTACCTGACTTCAAACTATACTACAAGCATACGGTAACCAAAACAGCATGGTACTGGTACAAAAACAGATATATAGACCAATGGAACAGAGCAGAGGCCTCAGAAATAACACCACATCTACGACCATCTGACCCTTGACAAACCTGACACAAACAAGCAATGGAAAAAGGATTCCCTATTTAATAAACAGTGTTGGGAAAACTGGCTAGCCATATGCAGAAAACTGAAACTAGACCCCTTCCTTACACCTTATACAAAAATTAACTCAAGATGGATTGAAGATTTAAACGTAAGGCCTAAAACCATAAAAACTCTAGAAGAAGAAAACCTAGGCAATACCATTCAGGACATAGGCATGGGCAAAGACTTCATGACTAAAACACCAAAAGCTATTGCAACAAAAGCCAAAATTGACAAATGGGATCTAATCAAACTAAAGAGCTTCTGCACAGCCAAAGGAATTATCATCAGAGTGAACAGGCAACCTACAGAATGGGAGAAAAATTTTGCAATCTATCCATCTGACAAAGGGCTAATATCCAGAATCTACAAGGAACTTAAACAAATTTACAAGAAAAAAAACAAACAACCCCATTAAAAGGTGGGCGAAGGGTATGAACAGACACTTCTCAAAAGAAGACATTTATGCAGCCAACACACGTATGAAAAAAAGCTCATCATCACTGGTCATTAGAGAAATGCAAATCAAAACCACAATGAGATACCATCTCACACCAGTTAGAATGGCAATCATTAAAAAGTCAGGAAACAACAGATGCTGGTGAGGCTATGGAGAAATAGGAATGCTTTTACACTGTTGGTGGGAGTGTAAATTATTTCAACCATTGTGGAAGACAGTGTGGCGATTCCTCAAGGATCTAGAACCAGAAATACTATTTGACCCAGCAGTCCCATTACTGGGTGTATACTCAAACGATTATAAATCATTCTACTATAAAGACACATGCATACATATGTTTATTGCAGCACTATTCACAATAGCAAAGACTTGGAACCAACTCAAATGCCCATCAATGATAGACTGGATAAAGAATATGTGGCACATATACATCATGGAATATTATGCAGCCATAAAAAAGAATGAGTCCCTTGCTAAGGACTCATTTGCAGCTAAGGACTGCAAAACCCCACTCTGCATCAACTGAACGCAAATCAGCCACTTTAATTAAGCTAAGCCCTTACTAGATCAATTGGACTTAAACCCATAAACACTTAGTTAACAGCTAAACACCCTAATCAACGCTTCAATCTACTTCTCCCGCCGCAGGAAAAAAAGGCGGGAGAAGCCCCGCCAGGTTTGAAGCTGCTTCTTCGAATTTGCAATTCAATATGAAAATCACCTCAGAGCTGGTAAAAAGAGGCTTAGCCCCTGTCTTTAGATTTACAGTCCAATGCTTCACTCAGCCATTTTACCTTATCCCACTGATGTTCGCCGACCGTTGATTGTTCTCTACAAACCACAAAGACATTGGAACACTGTACCTACTATTCGGCGCATGAGCTGGAGTCCTGGGCACAGCTCTAAGTCTCCTTATTTGGGCTGAGCTAGGCCAACCAGGCAACCTTCTAGGTAACGACCACATCTACAATGTCATCGTCACAGCCCATGCATTTGTAATAATCTTCTTCATAGTGATACCTATCATAATCGGAGGCTTTGGCAACTGACTAGTTCCCCTAAAAATCGGTGCCCCCGATATGGCATTCCCCCGCATAAACAACATAAGCTTCTGACTCCTACCCCCTTCTCTCCTACTTCTGCTTGCATCTGCCATAGTGGAAGCCGGCGCCGGAACAGGTTGGACAGTCTACCCTCCCTTAGCAGGGAACTACTCCCACCCTGGAGCTTCCGTAGATCTAACCATCTTCTCCTTGCATCTAGCAGGCATCTCCTCTATCCTAGGAGCCATTAACTTCATTACAACAATCATTAATATAAAACCCCCTGCCATAACCCAATACCAAACACCCCTTTTCGTCTGATCCGTCCTAATCACAGCAGTCTTACTTCTCCTATCCCTCCCAGTCCTAGCTGCTGGCATCACCATGCTGTTAACAGACCATAACCTCAACACCACCTTCTTCGACCCAGCCAGGGGAGGGGACCCTATTCTATACCAACACCTATCCCTTGCAGGGACATGGATAATGCTGGAAACCATCATTCTCAGCAAACTAACACAGGAACAGAAAACCAAACACCACATGTTCTCACTTATAAGTGGGAGTTGAACAATGAGAACATATGGACACAGGGAGGGGAACATACACACCAGGGTCTGTCAGGGGATGGGGGGCAAGGTGAGGGACAGCATTAGGAGAAATACCTAATGTAGACGACAGGTTGATGGGTGCAGCCACCACCATAGCCCATGTATACTATGTAACAAACCTGCACGTTCTGCATATGTATCCCAGAACTTAAAGTACAATAAATAAATCTGGGGGGCACAGTGGCTCACACCTGTAATCCCAGAACTTTGGGAGGCTGAGGCATGCAGATCACCTGAGGTTGGGAGTTCAAGACCAGCCTGACCAACATGGAGAAACCCCGTCTCCACTAAAAATACAAAATTAGCTGGGAGTGGTGGCATATGCCTGTAATCCCAGCTACTCAGGAGGCTGAGGCAGGAGAATTGCTTGAACCGGGGAGGCGGAGGTTGCAGTGAGCCGAGATCATGCCATTGTGCTCCAGCCTGGGCAAAAAGAGCGAAACTCCATCTCATAAAAAATAAATAAATAATTTTTTTAAAAAAGACACAAAACCTATAAGAGAAAAAAAATCAAACTTCACTATAAAACTGTTTTACATTCCTACTTGAAATAGAAAATGCTATAAACAAAGTTAAAAGATAAACAGCAAACCAAGAAAAGTATTTGCAAATATGCACACTATTTTCTACAAATCAAAAAGACTGGACAAAGTTCACAAAACCTTCATAAAGAAAAAGTATTATAATAAAGATTATACAAAAGAGAATACAACTGCCTTTTAAATATATGAAAATATTTTCAACCTCACTTTCAATAACAGAATTAAAAATTAAATCACACTGAAATACCATGTTTTACCTATCAGATTAGCAACATTAAAATATTGGTGAGGATGTGCTGAAAGACACATGCTGATATCTTGCTGGGAAGAATGTAAATTAGTGTAAGATTACAGAAAACAATTTGGTTATATCTAACAAAATTACCAATGCAAGATACATATATATATATATATATATATACACACACACACACACAGACACACACACACACCCTTTGACCCAGCAAAATACAATTCTAGAATTTCTCACAGATATAGTCACATTACAGAAGAAATCACAAAGTTATTCACCACATTACTGGAAATAACATAAAACCTCCATTAATAGAGGACTAATTAAATTGTGTTTTTACATACGGTAGAAAACTATGCAGTTGTTTACAGCTCATAGTATTCTTATTTGGGACGTTTTCTGAGTTGTATTGTTATATTAAAAGTCTGTAATACATTTATGTAGAAGATATATTTCCATTAAAAAACAAGATAACTCATTCACTCATAAATATTACTTGAACATATTTTCTGTGCCAAGCACTTTTCCAGGCCCTTGGAATACAGCAGAGAACAAAACAGGAAAAGACAGTAAGTAAATAAAATATAGTATGTATCCAACAGTGTTGATTGCTCTAAAGGAAAAGAAAAGCAGAACAGTAGTGAGGATGCTGCTTTATATAGAGTGGTCAGGAAATAATCTCTGACAAGTGACATTTGAATTGAGACCTAAAGGAAATGAAGGTTGAGACAGGAGGGTATCTGGGGGAAGTATATCCCAGGAAGTCAGAAGAGCAAGTGCAAAAGCTCAAAAGTATGACTAGTCTTAATATATTTAGAGAATGGCTAAACAAAACTGAACAAAAGGGAGAGTATAGGAGATGTAGCCAGAAATGTTGGCAGTGGGAAGAGAGGGGCAGTTCACACAGAGCCATTGCAAGAACTTCAGGCTTTTATTCTCAGATAGGACACCACCAGATAATGTCACAGGTTGTCTTCCTGAGAAGGAGATTCAAATATGGAGATTAGCGTGCAGGAAGTTTATTAAGGAGTTATCTTGGGATGACCCCCTAAGCAAGGGGAAGGAAGGAAGTAGGGCTGAGGAAAGTTGTGCTATAATACAGTCTCAACTAATGGGCCAGTCCACCCACATAAGGAACTTTGAAACCAAGAAGGCCCTTCAATTTGTTCCAAGATGGAACAAAGGAGCCAGAATTGTATAGCTCCCATAACAATGAGTCCTTAAGTATGGGATGAAAACTGAGATCACAGTGAGAAAAGAGGAAGTGGAAACAGTAATTGGAGATAATTTTTCAAGGATTACTGCTCTAAAAGGAGCAAAGAAATTGGGTGGTAGCTGGAAAGGAATACACAAGTCAAAGAAAGTTCCTCCTCTTTCAGGCTGGGAGATGTTACAGCTTGCTTGTTTACAGAAGGAAATTTATATGGTTTTGCTGTGTCCCCACCGAAATCTCATGTTGAATTGTAGCTCCCATAATCCCCACATGTCATGGGAGGGACCCGGTGGGAGGTAATTGAATCATGGGGGCAGTTTTTCCCCTGTTGTTCCCGTGATAATGAATAAGTCTCATAAGATCTGACGGTTTTATAAAAGGGCAATTCCCCTGCACATGTTTTCCTGCCTGCCACCAAGTAAGGTGTGCCTTTGCTTCTCCTTTGCCTTCTGTCATGAATGTGAGGCCTCCCCAGCCATGTAGAACCGTGAGTCCATTAAACCTCTTTTTCTTTATAAATTACCCAGTCCCGGGTATGTCTTTATTAGCAGCATAAGACCAAACTAATACAGGAATACAGGAATGATGCCATTTGTATTTGCTCTGGAAGGATGTATATGAAATTGATAGCAATGATTGCCTCTGGATCATTGGATCTGCGAACTGTGAGGCAGGAGAATAGGGGTAGGGAGAAGTGTCCTTTCAGTGTTTACCATCTTGGAATTTTATTTCTTTGCATGGATTATCTAATCACGGGTTATAGATCAATCAATACTGAACAGATAAAGTAGATCTTTATATATGGATGCAGAAATAGATCCTAAAATATACAAAGTAAGAGAGTTGGCTACATAATAGTAATAAATGTTTTAAAAATTATATAAATATGAAATATGGACTAAAAGTCTAGAAGAATACAGACCAAGTTGTCAATAGGAGTTATCTCTACAGAACATGAAAAGAGAATTCTCACTTATCTGTTGCTTGATGTTTTTTGTAACAATCTTATACATCAGAAAGAAATATGTATTTCATATTTTTAAAGTGTCTTTACCATATATTAATCTGTAAATATGAATTGTGTGTTGAAGCAACAAGAAAACCAACTAGACATTTTCCTGGACCAGTAGGATCTTCAGGCTTGAGTGGGCAGAAATGAAGGCCCAAGGAGAATAAGAAGAATCAGACCTGGGCATAAAAGTATATTGAAGTCTGGCTCCTGAGAGTTTGTCTTGCATCACTTTACATACCAAACCTCACCTACCATAGTGAGACCTAAATTCAAATAAATGATAAATGAAAACAGATTTTTAAAAAACTTTGGGTTCTAAAAATATTCTGGCTCCATTCTGGTTTATACTAAATCACCAAACTGCTTCCTTCCCTCAGAATAGTTGCATGAGTCATTTTACACAAATATCTACAAATTACAGTAAGAAATTCAACATCAGAGCACATAACTGACCATGAATGGACACCTTCATCATGACTACGGCACAACTTTTTAAGAAGAAAGTCCTTTGGATCCTGCATACTGTACTATTGTTTCAATCATTAGACTTGAGGGCTTAACCCAGATCTTTCATTAATGCAAGATCCCACATTAGAGAATTTACTATTCAGGTCAATTGTGAATTTTTTTCCTCTTCAATTGTGACCCCAGCATTTTTAGTTGGGGCTATGATTTTTTTTCACCCAACTCTAAAGAACTGTTCAACTGCTTCTTCTAAATATCTGATATAGGAGTTAGTATTTTTCTCTCAGTCAAGCAGCTCTCTATCATTTGTTTGAATTAGGAAATAGAAGTTTAGCAAAATACCTCAAAGACAGACTAGTAAGAGACACAAACCCCAACTCCAAGGTCCAATTCCCTTACATTTGCAGAGATACTGTTTTCTCCTCTCACAACTCAAGGCACCCAGGAAATCCTAAATCAGCCCCACAGGGCCTACACCATCACACACCAGTATGAGGAAGGTAAAGATTTGTAATCTGCCTTAGCCCATCTGGACAACTATAATAAAATACCATAAACTGGGTAGATTATAAACAATACAAATGTATTTGTCACAGTTCTGGAGGCTGGGAAGTCCCAGATCAAGGTGCCAGTAGATTCAGTGTGTGGCAAGGGTCCTCTTTCTGATTCACAGATAGTGTCTTCTTGTGTCCTCATGTGACAGAAAGGCAAGGGGTCTCTCTCAGGCCTTATAAGGGCTCCACCCTCATGATGTGACTACCTCCCAAAGGCCCCACCTTCTAATATATCTCCTTGGAGGTTAGGATTTCAACATATAAATTTGTAGGGGGACACAAACATTCATACCATAGCAAAACCCCTTAGTAATTAATTTAGTAGAGATTTTCTGAGCATAAAAGTTGTGAGAAAAATAAATATATAGGCCCATCTATATGACACACAAAAAACTATTCAGGAAATAATATTAAGTTAAAGAAACAATGTATAAAATTGTTATAGAATCTGAGTCCAATTTTTTATTACATGTAAATAATTAGAAAAAGTAAATATATCAAAAATGGTAATAGTGGATATCTCTAGTGGTCCACTGATTATTTTTTATTTTCTTCTCATTTTTATAAGAATATGTATTAATCACACAATCAAGAAAACAGTAGAAGTAATTTTTAAAAGCAATTGTATACAACACTGAAAATCAATCAAAGTGAGGAGTCGATGTTTACTTGGTGTAAGTCATATGTGGTCCACTGATTATTTTTATTTTCTCCTCATTTTTATAAGAATATGTATCAGTCATGTAATCAAGGAAAACAATAGAAGTAATTTTTAAAAGCAATTGTATATAATACTGAAAATATCAAAGTGAGTCGATGTCTACTTGGTATAAGTCACATGTTCCTAAGTCTAAACCCTGAGTCAATGGAATTCCTTTTCAGAAAGCATTCTCCCTATATTCCTAGGAGTCCTTTAACATGTCAAATTCTCATCTCCTCTCCCCCCAAAATATTTTCTTCAGCTCCCTCTAATTTAAGACTATCTCTTTCTTTGTGGATACTAATTTTATTCTGAGTCAAAGGGGGGACACAGTAGAAATCAGGAATTCTTGGCCATTATACCAAGGGATCCTGTTTATGCTTCTCTTCCATTTCCTATCTCACACTAACCATTTTCTCTTCCTCCATCTGCACAGCCAGTCTCTATCCATCCCCATTTCCTGCCTAAAAGAGTGATAATCATCTTTCTTTATATTTAGTCATCACAATGTAGTTTATGTGTTCTAGGAGCTCTCTATAAAATCAACCTGAATGTTCACCTTCTTTCCCCTGACGAGCCTTGAGCAGACCTATATTTCAGGCTAAATCTAGTTTTCTCCTTGCTGATTATCTCTTTCTGGCATCGAATTAAATTTTTGTTTTTTTTATGGTAGAGGTCTCCTCTGATGTGTCTTTTACCACATTTGGTTTTCCCTCGGAAGACATTTAGCCCATCTTTGATCCTTGTCACCCACAGGCTGTTAGTGTTACTGCTGCTGCTTCACATCTTGACTCCAGTTGGAGCTTGGAATTCTCCTTTTCACTATTCACTTAATCATTCAGTCATCTGTTTAGCAGATGGACCCGCATTTCCCTGACATCTATTCCATAGTTTCACAGATCTGGGCATGATGTCTTCCTGACACATCTGATGGCAATCACACAGGGACTTGGCTTGTGGGCACACGTACGTGTGTGTGTGTGTGACTTCTTGGCAACAACATTCACTAATGTTGGCTCTTAATCACTGAATAAGAGCACCCAAAACTCCATACAAGGCAAATGCTCAGCACATGCCTTTGCTCTGAATCTTCAAGTTTGCTTTTGGCATTTAGGGCTGATGCCCACTATGTCTGTCAAGCTATGTGAAAGATTCACTAGGGAGGCTCAACCCCAGCCATGCAATGCCTGTTGACAGGAGAATCTAAGACTCTCTCATCATTCTAGCTATATTTATAAAGTGCTCACTATGGCCAGGCATCATTTTAAGCAATTTCACAAATACTATCTAACTTAAGGCTCATTGCACCTCCATGAGGTAGATGCTATTATCATGACCATCATTTTACAGAAGAAGAAAATGAGGCACAGTGAGCTGCTTTATGTAACCCTGTAAGAAATGGAGCTGGAATCTGAACCCAGACAGTTGGGCCCCAAGAATCAACTCTCTTAACCTCCATTCTAAATTGCCTCTCAGCTGTAGCAAGATTGCTATAAAGAAAAATGCTTCATTACTGAAAAGATCTGGCTAAATATGATTTTTGGAACCAAAGTAATAAATATGCCAGAAGGCATTTTTGCAAGTCGGTGATACAACACCGTCTTGAAATTGCAGCACTAAATTCATTTGTTAGGACAGACATTCACATACATATAACAGCCAAGTTGCCTAAGAGTTGAGCTCCAACCTGCCAGCCTCAGCCACTGCTTGGGAGAACTGCGAACCCCAATCTCAGCTTTCCTCTTCAGTTGCTTCTATGTATAAGATGGACCCAGGACCCCTCTTAAGGGCCTGCTATCCTCTCTCCCACACCCCTTCAACACCGCCAGGCATGGAAATAAAGGAAGATCTGGAGCTCCTTCAATGGAAATTCCAGGCACCTAGCTAGCCCTGAGAAGTAAATGAGCAACTTGGTAAGCAAGAAGGTAGCAGTAGCTTAAAACAATAGCCAAGGAAGTTAGGGTCATGAGATGTTCCCTGTAGAAATTAAAGATAACATCTTAATGTGAGTTGTTTTTCAGAAACCCAGACCCCTTCCAAATGGATCCACTGGCATGTAGACCTCAGATAAAAGGGAACTGAGGACTGAACTCTGACTGCTGTTCTTTGTTCTAAATTTCTTCCTGAGGAGCCTGGAAGAGGTCATACCCATGAGCCAGAGCTAACTTTCTTTTCTGCTGATCACAAATTTTTAGATAAAGCTTCATCTCCTTAACCAATTGCAAATCAGGAAACCTTTGAATCTATCTATGACTTGTAAGACCCCGCTTTAAGATATCCCACCTCTTTAGGCCAAACCAATGTATAACCTCTGTGTATTGATTGATGACTTTGCCTATAACCTCTGCCTCCTCACCTTTAAAAGGCCTTACTTGTAAGCCACTGTGGAGGCTGGGTCTTAAGTGTGAGCTGCTGATTCTCCTTGCTTGGCATCCTGCTATAAATGCTTCACTTTCTCTTGCAGCAATCCCTATGTCAGTATTTGGCTTTGCTACACCAGGCAAGGGGATCCCAGTTTAGTTTGGTAACACTTACGGAAAATCCCTCCCTATTATTTTAGCACTGTGATTCAGAAAGATCTTCAACTTGCGGCCCGGTGTCTGAAGGTTTTAATCTTTATCTGACACAAGTCAAATATGACTAGATAAAATTCGATGGGAAACAGGGCTAAAATCCAGTAGGAGACTTGCATTCTATACAAAAATCTTATTGCAATATATCTTTGAGGATAATGCACACAAGGAAAGTTCAACTTAAACCTCTTCCAGATCCTACTTCGCTGTTTACTTATGTCCAAGTAGGGTCTGAGATGACTTTGGGGGCTTCCAAATAAGGAGGCACTATGCATTTCTCCCCAAGCCTCTCAACTCAGTAAGGAAGTGCTTCTATATAGATCCATCCTCCTTGCCTAGCCTTCTATGGATAAAGATTTTTAAAACTAATCATTATAAAAACTTTAAGAGCATGAGGTCAGAATTTTTGTCACTTGTGTTTACTGCTATGCCAAGAATAGTTTGACATATGGTAGGCATTAAATATTTGTTGAATTGATAAATATAAGGTCCTAGAAAATATATCACAAAAATATGTTTAAGAACAATATATTGTTTATTTCTGCATATAAACATGAAAATTTAAAGGTACCAAATAGATAATAATTATAATATTATACAAGTACTGCTAGTTAAAAATGTACTTAAAACATTTTTATGAGTAGTTAAAAGAGCTGAAGGCCAGGCGCAGTGGCTCACGCCTGTAATCCCAGCACTTTGGGAGGCCGAGGCGGGCGGATCATGAGGTCAGGAGATCGAGACCATCCTGGCTAACATGGTGAAACCCCTTCTCTACTAAAAAAAAAATACAAAAAAATTAGCCGGGCGTGGTGGCGGGCGCCTGTAGTCCCAGCTACTTGGGAGGCTGTGGCAGGAGAATGGCATGAACCCAGGAGACGGAGCTTGCAGTGAGCAGAGATAAGCCACTGCACTCCAGCCTGGGTGACACAGCGAGACTCCGTCTCAAAAAAAAAAAAAAAAAAGAGCTGAAAATGATTTCTGTCTGCAGACTCTGCTCATCAGATTAAGATGTAAGGATGCAGGTGAGCAGGTTGGTTGCATGCCAGTGCTGCAAAGAGAAGCTGGTTTTGCTCGATCTTCCACATTGACAGAATTCATAGCATGCCTTTTTGGAAGCTTTGCTCTGCATAGAATTGTCAATATGCACCTGCCATCAGTCCTTCAAGACATCTTGCCCAAAATATCACCTTTAAAATAAGAACCCACAACAAAAACTAACATTCACTAAAAAGGATTAATGGAGGGGATGCCTGAATCAGCTGTAGCCAATGTGAAGGTAGAATGGTGTTGTAAATAAGAGAGCAGAAGGCTTTAGAGATGCCCTGAACATCAGCCTTAGCATTATTATTATAATAACAACTGTGGGTCTTTGGAAGAGAAGCTTAACCTCTGTGCCTCAGTTTCCTGTGTTGTGTGTCAGGACTAGGACCCACATCACAGGATAAGGACAAAACATGATAGTGCATGCAAAGTATCTGACATATAGTAAGCGCTGAACAAAGGTTCACTGTGATTATTATACATCCATAAACCATTGAAAGTAAATTATAGACGAGTACTACACTGAGATGTACATTCCTTTGTATAAGGAATGTTCATCAGGCTGTAGCTCTACGTATGTATTTCCAGAGAGAACATTTAAAGAAATATACTTCCTGTGTCTCAAAAGTACAAAACTGAGAACAAATGTGCTACAGCTGTGGAAGTGAACATATGTACACCTCTCCCAAATGAATGGTAGGTTAGAATTTTCATCCGTTTTGCCAAGAAATTCATATAATTCCTATTCTCCAAAGCAAATAGCAAATAAACAAATTTATAGAAATTTAACAGAGAAATCTGGAATCAGAACAAATTTTGGAAAATGAGTGAAGTGCAAATATCAAACAATTTCTAAAATAAATGCAGGACCAAATGAACTGGAAACATATTCCATGAAGGAAACTTAAATCCTCATCCCCCTTGGGGAAAAGTGCTAGTTTCCTGCAAGATTCAATCCCTATTTCTTTAATGTGTGTGAACTATAAGCCAGCCCCACCTGGAATTTAGTTTGATTACAAATAAGTTTGTCAGATTGTTTACCTTGAAATCTTTCTTCTCTCCTAAAGAATTCTAAGAATGGTACTCGCAGTCACTCAGCTTTTTCATCAGAGAACTTGCTTGTATACAGATGTTGAACCATGTGAGACTACCATTCAATTGCCTTTGACCCACAAAAACAGCAATTTCATATGGTTCACTTATTCTACGTTGGATGGAAGTGGTCTAGGAAGATTTGAGGGGTTAAGGAAGTGGCTCCATAAAGAGAAGATATTTATTCCTTGTTAATGAATTTCACCTCCTCCAAGTTGTTGTGTCACAAAACGAAACACGTGTTGAGGAAGTAGAATCGCTTCATGTGGAAAGAATTAAATTCTCTTAGCATTGATGAAAAAAGACAGTGGGCTGGGCACCGTGGCTCACACCTGTAATCCCAGCACTTTGGGAGGCCGAGGCGGGTGGATCACCTGAGATCAGGAGTTTGAGACCAGCCTGGCCAACATAGTGAAACCCCGTTTCTACCAAAAATACAAAAATTAGCCAGGCACGGTGGTGCATGCCTGTAATCCCAGCTACTTGAGAGGCTGAGGCAGGAGAATCGCTTGAACCCAGGAGGTGGAGGCTGCAGTGAGCTGAGATCGTGCCACCGCACTCCAGCCTGGGTGACAGAGATCCTGTCCCAAAAAAAGAAAAAGAAAAAGAAAAAAAGACAGTGATGCTCACATTGAGAACAGCAGCAGATCCATGACCCAGCTGTATGAGGTGTCAAGGAAGTGTAACTATTAACCAAACGAAGAAAACAGTGGTGTCCTGCCCAATGTGCTGGGATGAAAGCCACATATGTGGTGGATGAACAAGTTATTCTGAGAAACAAGACCAGGCAGTTACCTACCATCTAAAGCACTAGAATGTCAGTCCCCCCGCACCTCCCGGTAATCCACACCCCTTCAAATGAACCTTGTCCTGGCAGGTTTACTAGAGTTGCAAAATGCTTGGATCTGCAGGAATGCAAGCAGCAAGCACCTCACCCCACTAATTTGGCATTTCAAGCTCTTCTTCCTTTCTCTCTTTCTGCTTTGGAATTTTCATTAGAGTATGACATTTGACTCATTCTGAGAGCAAACATTATATTTTCTGGCTTTTCTAATTTGAAAAACAGATGGTCTCCTCACTGGCCCTAGGGAAAAAAGAAAAACTTGTTTTAACAATTTCATCTGGCTTCTACTTCTCATTTTCTAGTTTTCAAACATGTAATTCTATTATTACCTGTTGTATGTGAGGCTGTGGGCAGCCTCTGAAGTAGTAGGCTTCCTGCACAGCACTATGTCTGAGGGCCACACCTCATTCTCTCCCATCTTCACTGCAGTCCCCATCCCCATTGCCCACAAAAAGCAAAGTAAAAAATAACTCTAAATTATCATCTATGTTATAAGTATTGCTTCAAAACTTGTGATAAGAAAGCTGTAGGTCAGTCTTAGAGAAAATACAAAAACACAGAAACTGTTTTTCACATTATAGCTCCAACATTCCACAGGGATTTATATTTAGGCAAATATGTGTGTTTGGGTGAGCTTCTGGGCTCAACTTTAATCATTCTGAGAGAGAAAGAATCCAACCAGTTTAAACTAGATTTTCACTCTTTGTAACCCATGTGGCATTCCAAACATTTCTAAGCATTAGGATTACATCATTTTCTCTTTTTTTTTCCTTTAATACAAACAGCCATTATATTCTATTTTCACGACCTTTAAGTTCCCAATATCAAATTACCCAGCTGTTGTTTCAATCTCTCTTAGTTGCTAAGAGATGGTGATGGTGGCAGACCAGACCGATTTTCTTCAACATAGAATTGCAAGCTGACATAAGAGGGAACTAAATTCAGCCAGAGCACAATGAGCCCAACAGTTGGCAGCCAGGCTGTGTGTCTTTTCCCAGCTGCAGGAGACAGTTGGTGCAGAGAACCTCGTTGCCATCTCCCTGCCAACATCACTGCCATGTTTTCATGCATTCTCCACAATGCCTCTCAGCAAAGAGGGGCATTGCCATTTGCATTACAGGGATCAGTCTGCTGTAATATCGCCTCTCCTAGAATTAAGTTCTGTGGCTAAAGACCATGATCTTTTCTGGGTCAAGCCATTCTTTAGTAATAATAGAGAAAACACTTCTATTGAATGCGGTGGACAGCATTTATACTTGCCCTCCTCCTACCCCACCTTATGATCAAGACACTTATTTACCCCACCTGCTAAGCAGTGTTGACTGCTTATTGCTCTCAGCTGAGACCCTCCCTGGGACTTGCCCTCAGCTGCCTCACCCAAGGTCATGCCCTTCCCTGGGAGCTTTCCACATCCCATGTCTGCTAAATGGGAGGAGGTATAAAGCCTGGGGGAAAAGGGGAGCCACTTTAGAGTTCTGGGTAGGAATACTGCCATCTCTGTCACAGCTGCAGTTCAACTCCTCTCTCTGGTTGATTTACTTCCCTCACCTCTCAGAGGTGCTTTTCCCAAGAACTCACCCCAATAAACCTCCAGCATGTAGATCTCAGAGCCTCAGAATCCGATTCCTGGGAACCCAAACTATGACAAAAAGTAAATTCTCAAACCTCTCTTTTATCTTAAGGAACAATCCACTAGGTTTCTGTGTGCTGAAGTCTGAAAGAAATCTCATAGGGACTATTTTTCTTGGTTTACTCACAATTGTGCCAGCACAAAAATCCTGACCCAGAATGCTTAACACGCTGCGTTATCTGTGCTTCCTTAGCACAGATAACACAGTGTCCAGTGTCTTATTAGCCAAACTCCAGTCTAGAAGCAATGTCAACAGAATTACTGTTAAAATGGAGGTGAGACAGATAATAAAAACAGTTTATACCATGGATGGAGGTACATGTCTCAATGAACAATAACTGTGCAATGAAGATATTAGCTATAGCCCTGGTGGGGGGTACAGGATTCCACCTACCCAAATTGGGTGAGAGAATGTTGAAAGGGTTTACAATGAAAATTGAGTAAATGTATAATACACTTAGGAGAAAAGACAATGGCCTATGAAACTAAGTCTCAGCTCTCGCCATGGACTTGGATTCCCCCACTGACAAGAAAGACTTAAACTATTAAAAGGTTCAGCCTGCTAATTCACAGTTTAGGAAGTAGCACTATGATCTTGCTTTTGGTCCACAATTTCTTATTACTACCACCGTCCATAAACGCATTACAGAACTGGTCATGGATCAGATGACTTCTACTATCTTTAGCTGTGTGACTATGAAACACTAGGAAAATGTAGAAATACAGAGATAATGACATAAGCCTAACCCATGGTACTTAGTGCTAACTTTGGCAGTACATTTTATGATTATGGAGACAATCTTGGTGTTTATTATTTAAAATTATTGAAACGTTTTTAAAGAATCCAAAATACAAAACTGCCTTGAAGTTTTAATTTGAAATGTTGAATGGATATCGGCCATGATTTTAATAAAGGTAAGAATTTGATTAATTTTGTAATATGAAAGAACCTAGTTTATCATAGTTATAAATTTGGTTTATTACATTTTCAAAACTGGCCTAAGTTCACTGAAAGATTTGGCCTAGTTAGGTTTCTAAGTCTATCCTCATGTATCTAAAGTATTTGAGATTATTAGATGGATTAAAGGTCTTAGGAAAATTAACTAAATTTGTGAATGACATTCATTTGTTAAACTTATGAACTAATTCAACATTAACCAAAAATCAAATGGCTGTTACTGCTCTTGTAGTAAACTAACTAGATTTTTAAATAGAAGAAAGAGATGGGTAAAAGAAAATTTAGACTTAAGAAAAATCAAGCTTTAAATTTTCCAATTTATTCATAATTCTAGCTCTAAGTATTGCTTTCTACTTCAATTGTCAGGAATTATTTAAGCCTACCTCTATTGTCTGTTCAAACTACGATTCTATCATACCGAACTTAAATATTTTGTTGGCATTTGCATGCCCTAAAATTTCAGAGCTGGCAGTTTTCCTCTCAGCTGCTTTAAATGGCTCCCTGATTACTTTCCCCAGAGATGAAGCTGACAGATCCAGTGGGAAAGGACTGTGCCTTCTTTGTTCAGTTGCTGATGTGAGCCCTAACGACAGCAGTGATACAATTTACATTCAATAAGCCATGAGTCAGAGAATATCATCTAACTTTTTATGAGAATAAGATACTGTAAATTCAAACTTGTAATGAAAGACCTTACTCTTGGTTTGACTGCTGTTCAGTCTTCTGGCAGGGATGGGTAGGGTGGGATACAAGAAATGCCTGAAACATTGCTTCTCAAATCTTAATGTGCATCTGAATCACCTGGGGATCTTGTTAAAATGCAGGGAGACAAGAATCCTGCATTTCTAACAGTTCCCAGGTGTGGCCCAAGCGTCCAGTCCACAGACCACACTTTGAGTAGTAAAGCTCTAAATATCAAATAGCCTAGTTGATGTTTTGTGGGTTTTTTAGTGATGAAGATTCTGTTGAGGGTGGAGGAAAGGGAGTGATGGTATGTAAGTGCTAACCCTGGATCTAATATGACATCATTTTATATTAGTAATTATATTCAGAAGACTTGATGTTTTACCACTTAATATTTGTTCATTGGAAGAGCAACTGAACTTAAAGCAAATCAGTAATTTCCCAACATCTACAGCCTATTTTATTAGAAAATAAAAAGATAAACATCTGATTTGAAAAGCGATAAAATATGTCATATATGCATGTCAAGCATCAGTTCTGATCTTTAGGTAACTGAAGGCATAATCTTTCATTTTGGAAACAGACATAATGCAATCTCTGTATCATAACTTTAGAAACATCTCCGAGCAGCATGTCTGGCTGACGAGCCAAGACAAGTATAATAATAAAAAAAAAAAATTTGTGACATTAAAAATATCAGATCTCAAAAAAAAAAAGACATTCTTTTAACTAGCGAGGCAAAGAAAAATGGGAAAGCTATAAAAGCTTGTTTCTTTATCAACAGTAGGTGGTGCTACAATACAAGTAAACAGTAAATGTACAGCAAGTACTTTTCTTGTCAGCATTCAAATAATGATTTAGTTATTATTACACTTTCTTACAGATCAAGATCAAAACTGTCTTGACTTTATTATACAGATTATTGGACATGTTTTCAAAAGTTTTCTACTACCAAGAAACGCTAGGAATCTACTGGTAGTTTAATATGTCAAATAATCTAACTTTTTTTAAATGTATAAACTTTTGTGTGCCTATCTTGTTTTTAATTCTTCTTAAATTACTTGGGGGAATGCTAGTGATCATAGTTTGTTATACACTGGCATACCAAGGAGGTTGTGAAAATCTCCTCCGTTGGAGACTGTTGAAAAGCAACACAAAACCCTCTATTGCTTTCACAGGACTTCTTCAAAGCAAGTTGATGAACTTTACCAGGCAATGCCTAGAAATTATTTCCTGGCACAAAGTCTAGTGGCAGGACAGGAAAACACTTCCCCAGAGTTGCAACAGTTCTCACAGTACACCCCATGAGTCAGGGAGGTATGACAAAACAGACGAGGGATCAGCAAATTTTCTAGTGGAATGCCTAGTTAATACCTCTTCCAATAGCATTCATTACTGTAGAGTTTAGGACAGTTTTTCACACATTCCACTAGGCAGAGATTAATTTGGACTAAACCTACCTATTATTCATATATTATTAATAATCACTTAAAACAGATGCTCTAAAATCAGTATCCTAGAAATAATAATTTTGATGAAGGTGGAATAAGATTGTTAGAGCAAAGGGGGGCAAGTCCAATTAGAACGCAGGACATTTGAGGAATGGCAAGTCTTTGGAAGTGGTTGTGTTTCTGTCAGGGCTTTGATGAGACGAAAACAACATAAGGATATGGAGTACCTGGGAGAAAGAATGGAGGGACAAAGATGGGAGGAGGGAGGACAATAAAACATAACAAAAACAAAAATCCTGATTTGCGCTTTTGTCTTAAGTCATGGTAGCACAGATGTGTAAATTGCCAGGCTCTTTGTAACACTTGATCTATGCAAGAAAGGTAACATCCTGCAACATCCTGTGATTACAGGATGTCTAAAGACAGAGATCTAAACTTGAATCAACAAAGTCCCTGCCCTCAAGAAGCTCCCAATCTAGTGTTTCTCTGCTATACTTACAGAGGTGGGCTAACCTTTACTACATGAAAGAGCAAGGCATTGTCTCACAGGACTTTGGTCTATTCACTTCACAGATATAGAAAGCAAGTCATCCAGGGATGAAAACTAAGTCCCACAACTCAAAAGGCACAGAGTAGGAAATATTTTTGGCAAGAACTAGCTCTTCTGAATATGTCATTTAATTTTCTCTTCATTAATGTCATCAGTAAATATTAACAGAGTACCTACTGTGTTCAAGGTGCCAGTGTTTCTCTTAATCATTTTCAGTAGAAAAATCACAAGTTTTTCTAGATTCTGAATGCTGCTGTCTGGGCTCCTATCCTAGGGCTGCCTTGTGACAGCTCCCTTTGCTGGTTTAGTTTATCAGACTCTTTGAAAGGGAGATGACAATTAGGGTGAAAATGAGAGAGAAGCAACAATATCTATAACACATACAAGAACAGAAGGGCTGTAACCAGCAATTGAAAAGTCCCTTGATGACAAAGACTAGGGAGAAAAGGGAATATAGAAGAAGGGGATGAAAGGTGAAAAAAGAAGAAAATAGAAACTAAAAGCAAATAAAACCAAGAAAATTTAACATGTAATGGCAAAAGAAAAGAAACAGAGAGGTGCATCCTGAATGGAAGCTGAGGGAAATATTGGGGGTCTCATTGAAAAGTAAAATGTGTGATATTGCAGGAATTACAGACCAACTTCTTGGGATTCTGACCTCTTCCACACTGAAGATCAGAGGACAGGGAAGAGTTATCCAAACAACCAAAGAAAAGAACCATCCTGCTTTTTAAGACAGCATGGTTTATAGACAAGCAGAGACAAGATAGTGTCCGAGGATCCAGACTGGATTCCTGATTCTGACAATTTAGTTCCATGTCCTGGGGCAAATCATCACCTCTCTAAGATTCTGTTTCTTGTCCAAGAGAGTAATAATGCTTCACTACAGGTTTGTGAAAATCTTTATATAAATGGTAGTCATTCCATTTTTAAAACTTTTTATTATGGAAATTTTAAAACATACAAAAACAGAAAGAAGAGGATAATGAACTCCCATGTACCCAACACCCAGCAATAACAGGTATTAACTGTTGTCCAATCTTGTTTGTTCCTACCCACTCCCCCAACCTCAAATTAATTTGAAGCAAATCCTAAGCATCCTAACATTCTGTTTAAATAATATTTCAGTACATATTGCTAAAAGATAAGAACTCTTCTTTTTGTTTTTGTTTTTTTTTCCTTCCAACTTTTATTTTAGGTTCGGGGGTTCATGTGCAGTTTTGTTACATGGGTAAATTGTGTGTCACAGGAGTTTGGTGAAAAAATTGTCTCGTCACCGAGGTAATGATCAGAGTAACCAACAGGTAGTTTTTCCATCCGTACCCTCCTCCCACTCTTCACCTCAAGTAGGCTCTGGTGTCTATTGTTTTCATCTGTGTCCATGTATACTCTTTTCAAATACAACCACAATACCATTATTATACTTCCATAAAAATTAATACCTTTATATTATCAAATGTCCAATATATGTATATATTTCCTCAATTGTTTTGTTTTTATATATATACATATATATTAATGAATTAGTCTTGCTAAGAAAGAAAATATATATATATATATATAATCTTGTTTTTACAGCTTATATTTTGAATCAGGATCCAAAAAGGGTCTACACATCGATTGGTTAATATATCTCTTTTTTTTTTTTTTTGAACTTTAAGTTCTAGGATACATGTGCAGAACGTGCAGGTTTGTTACATAGGTATACATGGGCCATGGTGGTTTGCTGCATGTATCAACCCGTCATCTAGGTTTTAAGCCCCGCATGCATTAGGTATTGGTCCTAATGCTCTCCCTCCCTTTGTCCCCCACCCCCCAACAGGCTCTGGTGTGTGACGTTTCCCTCCCTGTGTCCATGTTTCTCACTGTTCAACTCCCACTTATGTGTGAGAACATGCAGTGTTTGGTTTTCTGTTCCTGCGTTAGTTTGCTGAGAATGATGGCTTCCAGCTTCATCCATGTCCCTGCAAAGGACATGAACTCATTCTTTTTTATGGCTGCATAGTATTCCATGGTGTACATGTGCCACATATTCTTTATCCAGCCTATCACTGATGAGCATTTGGGTTGGTTCCAAGTCTTTGCTATTGTAAATAGTGCTGCAGTAAACATACATGTGCATGCATCTCTATACAAGAATGATTTATAATCCTTTGGGTATTTACCCAGTAATGGGACTGTTGGGTCAAATAGTATTTCTGGTTCTAGATCCTTGAGGAATCCCCACACTGTCTTCCACAATGGCTGAAATAATTTACACTCCCACCAACAGGATAAAAGCATTCCTATTTCTCCACAGCCTCGCCAGCATCTGTTGTTTCCTGACTTTTTAATGATCGCCATTCTAACTGGTGTGAGGTGGTATCTCATTACGGTTTTGATTTGCATTTCTGTAATGACCAATGATGATGAGCTTTTTTCATATGTTTGTTGGCTGCATAAATGTCTTCTTTTGAGAAGTGTCTGTTCATATCCTTCTCCCACATTTTGATGAGGTTGTTTTTTTCTTGTAAATTTGTTTAAGTTCCCTGTAGATTCTGGATATCAACCCTTTGTCAGATGGATAGATTGCAAAAATTTTCTCCCATTCTTAGGTCGCCTGTTCATGCTGATGATAATTTCTTTTGCGTGCAGAAGCTCTTTAGTTTGATTAGATCCCATTTGTCAATTTTGGCTTTTGTTGCAATTGCTTTTTGTGTTTTAGTCATGAAGTCTTTGCCCAAGCCTATGTTCTGAATGCCTAGGTTTTCTTCTAGGGTTTTTATGGTTTTAGGTCTTACATTTATATCTTAATCCATCTTGAGTTAATTTTTGTATGAGGTGTAAGGAAGGGGTCCAGTGTCAGGTTTCTACATATGGCTAGCCAGTTTTCCCAACATTATTTATTAAATAGGGAATCCTTGCCCCATTGCTTGTTTTTGTCAGGTTTGTCGAAGATCAGTTGGTTGTAGATGTGTGGTGTTATTTCTGAGGTCTCTGTTCTGTTCCATTGGTCTATATATCTGTTTTGGTACCAGTACCACGCTGTTTTGGTTACTGTACCCTTGTAGTATAGTTTGAAGTCAGGTAGCATCATGCCTACAGCTTTGTTCTTTTTGCTTGGAATTGTCTTGGCTGTGCGGGCTCTTTTTTGGTTCCCTATGAAATTTAAAGTAGTTTTTTCTAATTCTGCAAAGAAAGACATGGTAGCTTGATGGGAATAGCACTGAATATTTAAATTACTTTGGGCAGTATGGCCATTTTCATGATATTGATTCTTCCTATCCGTGAGCATGGAAAGTTTTTCCATTTGTTTGTGTCCTATCTTGTTTCCTTGAGCAGTGGTTTGTAGTTCTCCTTGAAGAGGTCCTTCGCATCCCTTGTAAGTTTTATTTCTTGGTATTTTATTCTCTTTGTAGCAGTTGTGAATGGGAGTTCACTCGTGATTTGACTGTTTGTCTATTGTTGATGTATAGGAATGCTTGTGATTTTGCACATTGATTTTGTATCCTGAGTCTGCTGAAGTTACTTAACAGCTTAAGGAGTTTCTGCGCTGAGACAATGGGGTTTTCTAAATATACAATCATGTCATTTGCAAATAGAGACAATTTGACTTCCTCATTTCCTAATTGAATACCCTTTATTTCTTTCTCTTGCCTGATTGCCCTGACCAGAACTTCCAGTGCTATGTTGAATAGGAGTGGTGAGAAAGGGCATCCTTGTCTTGTGCCGGTTTTCAAATGGGATGTTTCCAGCTTTTGCCCATTCAGTATGATGTTGGTTACGGGTTTGTCATAAATAGCTCTTATTATTTTGAGATATGTTCCATCAATACCTAGTTTATTGAGAGTTTTTAGCATGAAGGGATGTTGAATTTTATCAAAGGCCTTTTCTGCATCTATTGAGATAATCATGTGGTTTTTGTCATTGGATCTGTTTATGTGATGGATTACATTTATTGATTTGCATATGTTGAACAAGCCTTGCATCCCAGGGATGAAGCCAACTTGATTGTGGTGGATAAGCTTTTTGATGTGCTACTGGATTCAGTTTGCCAGTATTTTTATTGAGGATTTTCACGTCAATGTTCATCAGGGTTATTGGCCTGAAATTCTCTTTTTTTGTTGTGTCCCTGCCAGGCTTTGGTATCAGGATGATGCTGGCCTCATAAAATGAGTTAGCGAGGATTCCCTCTTTTTCTATTGTTTGGAATAGTTTCAGAAGGAATGATACCAGCTCCTCTTTGTACTGCTGGTAGAATTCGGCTGTGTATCCATCTGGTCCTGGGCTTTTTTTGGTTGGTAGGCTATTAATTACTGTCTCAATTTCAGAACTTGTTATTGGTCTATTCAGGGATTTGACTTCTTCCTCGTTTAGTCTTGAGAGGATGAATGTGTACAGGAATTTATCCATTTCTTCTAGATCTTCTAGTTCATTTGTGTTGAGGTGTTTATAGTATTCTCTGATGGTAGTTTGTATTTCTGTGGGATCAGTGGTTATATCCCCTTTATCATTTTTTATTGTGTCTATTTGATTCTTCTCTGTTTCCTTCTTTATTAGTCTTGCTAGCAGTCTATGTATTTTGTTAATGTTTTCAAAAAACCAGCTCCTGGGTTCATCGATTTTTTGAAGGGTTTTTGTGTCTCTATCTCCTTCAGTTCTGCTCTGATTTAGTTATTTCTTGTCTTCTTCTAGGTTTGGAATTTGTTCTTGCTTCTCTAGTTCTTTTATTGTGATGTTAGGGTGTTGATTTTAGATCTTTCCTGCCTTATCCTGTGGGCATTTAGTGCTATAAATTTCCCTCTAAACACTGCTTTAGATGTGGCCCAGAGATTCTGGTACACTGTCTCTTTGTTCTCATTGGTTTCAAAGAACTTATTTATTTCTGCCTTAATTTCACTCTTTACCCCGTAAACATTCAGGAGCAGGTTGTTCAGTTTCGACGTAGTTGTGCAGTTTTGAGTGAGATTCTTAATCCTGAGCTCTAATTTGATTTCACTGTGGTCTGAGAGACTGTTTGTTATGATTTCCATTATTTTGCATTTGGTGAGGAGTGTTTTACTTCCAGTTATGCGGTTGATTTTAGAATAAGTGCTATGTGGCACTGAGAAGAATGTATATTCTGTTGATTTGGGGTGGAGAGTTCTGTGGATGTCTGTTAGGTCTGCTTAGTCCAGAGCTGAGTTCAAGCCCTGAATATCCTTATTAATTTTCTGTCTTGGTGATCATTTAATATCGACAGTGAGGTGTTAAACTCTCCCACTATTACTGTGTGGGAGTCTAAGTCTCTTTGTCAGTCTCTAAAAACTTGTTTTATAAATCTGGGTGCTGCTGTATTGGGTGCATATATGTTTAGCATAGTTACCTCTTCTTCTTGCATTGATCCCTTTACCATTATGTAATGCCTTTCTTTGTCTTTTTTTTTTTTTTTAATCTTTGTTGGCTTAAAGACTGTTTTATCAGAGATTAGGATTGCAACCCCGGGTTTTTTTTTTTTTTTTTTTTTTTTTGCTTTCCATTTGCTTGGTAAATATTCCTCCATACCTTTATTTTGAGCCTATGTGTGTTTTTGCACGTGAGATGGGTCTCTTGAATGCAGCACACCAATAGGTCTTGGCTCTATCCAATTGGTTAGTCTGTGTCTTTTAATTGGGGCATTTAGCCCATTTACATTTAAGGTAAATATTGTTATGTGTGAATTTGATCCTGTCATCATGACGCTAGCTGGTTATTTTGCATATTAGTTGATGCAGTTTCTTCGTAGTGTAATTGGTCTTTATATTTTGGTGTGTTTTTGCAGTGGCTGGTACTGGTTTTTCCTTTCCATATTCAGTGCTTCCTTGAGGAGCTCTTATAAGGCAGGCCTTGTGGTGACAAAATCCCTCCACATTTGCTGTCTATAAAGAATTTTATTTCTCCTTTGCTTATGAAGCTTAATTTGGCTGGGTGTGAAATTCTAGGTTGAAAATTTTCTTTATGAATGTTGAATATTGGCCCCCACTCTCTTCTGGCTCACAGGGTTTCTGCAGAGGGATCTGCTGTTAGTCTGATGAGCTTCCCTTTGTAGGTAACCTGACCTTTCTCTCTGGCTACCCTTAATATTTTTTCCTTCATTACAACCTTGGAAAATCTGACGATTATGTGTCTTGGGGTTGCTCTTCTCAAGGAGTATCTTAGTGGTATTCTCTGTATTTCCTGAATTTGAATGTGGGCCTGTCTTGCTAGGGTGGGGAAGCTCTCCTGGATAATATCCTGAAGTGTGTTTTCCAACTTGGTTCCATTCTCCCTGCCACTTTCAGGTACACCAATCAATCATAGGTTTGGTCTTTTCACATAGTCCCATATTTCTTGAAGGCTTTGTTCATTCCTTTTCATTCTTTTTCCTCTAATCTTGTCTTCACACCTTATTCAGTAAGTTGATCTTCAATCTCTGATATCCTTTCTTCTGCTTGATTGATTTGGCTATTGATACTTGTGTATGCTTCACGAAGTTCTCATGCTGTGTTTTCAGCTCCATCAAGTCATTTATGTTCCTCTCTAAAGTAGTTATTCTAGTTAGCAGTTTATATAACCTCTATTCAAGGTTCTTAGCTTCCTTGCATTGCATTATAACATCCTCCTTTAGCTCAGAGGAGTTCATTATTACCCACCTTCTGAAGCCTACTTCTGTCAATTTGTCAATCTCATTCTCCATTTAGTTTTGTGCCCTTGCTCAAGAGGAGTTGCAATCATTTGGAGGAGAAGAGGCATTCTGGTTTTTGGAATTTTCAGGGTTTTTGCACTGGTTTTTCCTGATCTCTGTGGATTTATCTACCTTTGATCTTTGAGGCTGATGGCCTTTAGATGGAGTTTTTGTGTGGGGGTCCTTTATGTTGATGTTGATGTTGTTGTTGCTTTCTGTTTGTTAGTTTTTCTTCTAACAGCCAGGCTCCTCTTCTGCAGGTCTGCTACAGTTTGCTAGAGGTCCACTCCAGACCCTGTGTACCTGTGTATCACAGTGGAGACTGCAGAACAGCAAAGATTGCTGCCTGCTCCTTCCTCTGGAAGCTTCGTCCCAGAGGGGCACTGGCCTGATGTTAGCCCGAGCTCTCCTGAATGAGGTGTCTTTGACCCCTGTTGGGAGGTGTCTCCCCATCAGGAGGCACGGGGGTCAGGGACCAACATGAGGAGGCAGTCTGTCCCTTAGCAGAGATGGTGGGCTGTGCTGGGAGAATCCCTCTTGTCAGGATCAGCTGCTCATTTCAGAGAACAGGCAGGAACAACTAAACCTGCTGAAGCAGCAACCACAGCTGCCCCTTCCCCCAGGTGCTCTGTCCCAGGGACATGGAGGTTTTGTCTGTAAGCCCGTGACTGGGGCTGTTACCTTCAGAGATGCCCTGCCCAGTGAGGAGGAATTTAGAGAAAAGGTCTGGCCACAGCTACTTTGCTGCACTGTGGTGAGTTCCGCCCAGTCCAGACCTCCCAGCCTCCTTAGCACTGTCAGGGGAAAACTGCCTACTAAAGCCTCAGTAATGGTGGATGCCCCTCCCCACACTAAGCTTGGTAGTCCCAGACTGACCTCAGACTGCTGTGCTGGCAGCAAGAATTTCAAGCCAGTGGTTCTTAGCTTGCTGGGCTCCATGGGAGTGGGGCCCGCTGAGCAAGACCACTTGGCTCCTTGGCTTCAACCCCCTTTCCAGGGGAGTGAGCTGTTCTGTCTCTCAGGCATTCCAGGCACCCATGGGGTATGAAAAAAACTCCTGCAGCTAGCTTGGTGTCTGCCCAAACAGCTGCCCAGTTTTGTGCTTGAAACCCAGGGCCCTGGTGATGTGGGCACTCGAGGGAATCTCCTGATCTGCAGATTACAAACACCGTGGGAAAAGCATAGTAACTGGACAGGTAGCACAGTCCCTCAAGGCTTCTCTTGGCTGGGGGAGGGAGGTCCCCACATCTCCTTGCACTTCCCGGGTGAAGCAACGCCCCACCCTGCTTCTGCTCACCCTCTGTGGGTTGGACCCACTACCTAACCAGCCCCAGTGAGATCAAATGGGTAACTCAGTTGGAAATGGAGAAATCACCTGCTTTCTGTTGCTATTCAGCCATCTTGGCCAGTTAATATATCTCTTATATCTCTTTTAATCTGTACCTTTCCTCTCTCTCTGTCTCCCTCTCTATCCTGGAAATTTTGTTGAAGAAACAGGGTTGTTTGTCCTGTAGAGTTTCACACAGCCTGGGGTTTGCTGATTGCAGCCCCATGATATTATTTATCTAATTCACTAATTCACATTCCCCTCTCTCTCTGTCCAATTCTCCTGGAAATTGACAGTTAGATCTAAAGGCTTGATTATATTAAGTTGTATTTTTCCTTTCTTTTTTGGCAAGACTAATTTATTGATGGTGTTGTATGGTTTTGTCAAGAGTTGTATGGTTGTCTTTATTTTTATGTTTTTTGAGCAGCCAATCACTGCCAGCAGTCCTTACATGGATATTTCTCCCATCATTCTGATTACCTAACATATATTCTCCAGGAGATTCCGCAGTAACTATTTATGGGAAAAATATGTCCTTATTTCTTGCAAGTTTGTCTGTGGCCTTTATACCTGAAGTTCTATGTGGCTAAACCCTTAGCTCCCATTTTCCATCCCTGAGTATCCTAAATACGTTACTCCACTGTCTTCTGAAAAAAAAAAATCAGTTGACAAATTTCGGTGACAATTTGATATTCTTTTTTCTTATTAATGACTTGGCTGTTAAGACTGGATGACCACTGAATTTTTTCTTCTTTTTTTTTTTTTCCTTTTTGTAATCCAGTGATTTTTACTTTTCTAGGTAGATTTTTTTTCTTATATGTATGCCTTTCCAATAAGAAATTTTAAATCATTTAAATCTTATTTCAGGGAAGTGAAGATGTTAATATTGGTTCTATTCCACTGTTTTTGTTTTCTTTCTTTGAGATTTCTATTATGTATGTGTTGAATACTCTTAGCAATCTGTCTGTATCTATCACTTTTTCTCAAAACCTTATCCCTTTATTATTTATTTTTTTACTGAATTGTAGTAAACATACAATAGAGTTCATCATTTATAAGTATAGTTTGGCAAATATTCATAAACAGCTGTATGACCAAACTCTAGAACATTTTCATTGCCCCAAAAAGTTATCTCATGCCCCTTTGCAGTCAATTGCCTCCCCCTTACCCACATATACATAATTCAATCTCTAGCAACCACTGATCTGTATTTTGTTCCTATGTTTTGCCATCTTTTAGAATGTCATCTAATTGAACTCCACAGCACATAGTCTTTCTTATATCCGACTTATTTCATGTAGCATAATGCTTTTGAGATTAATATTGTTGTATGTATAAGTAGTTCAATTATTTTTATTGCCAAGTAGTGTTCCTTTATTAATAACATTTTCTCTATCTTTTCACCAATCGATGGATATCTGGGTTGTTTCTAGTTTGGGGCTATTACGAATGTCTTTCCTCCCACCCATACTTTGTTTTTCTTAAACTAATATCTGTTGCATTATTTTGTCCTTGCATTCCTTCCTTCTAGCATAGTCTTCATTCCTGAAATTCTTTTTTCCTTTTATTTCTAATTCTTTCCTGACTTTACCTCTCTGTTAAAATCTTCCTTCTCTTCAATTATCATATTTCTGAGTTTTTAAAATTCTGATTCATGTTTTTATTTCATAGCTTCTATCATTTTCTCAATTGTTTTTGGCTCAGTTGGAAATATTAGGTATCATTTTCATTTATTTTGTGGGCATTTATTTCTGGCATGCTTTTATTGTCTGCAAAGATGTTATTCTGCTCCTTAACCTCTTTTGTAAAAAATAATAACTTTGTATGGTAATCAACTCTTTATGTTGTTCATTTTCTTCATTCCTATTGTGACTACTAATAATACTTTCAGCGACATTTACAATTACAAATAATATAGGAAAACTTCCTAAGAATATATAAAACTAAGTATAGCATCAGCAACATATATAATTATACAGCTTCTGTCATCTGCAAAAATTAGGTAACATCATTACCACTCATGAATTTTTTGAAGTCAGTATTTATCCTTACTTTACTGAAGAAAAAAACAACATACCAGAAGTTAAAAGCTTCTTCAAGTTTATAGGGAGACAACATTACAACTCTCAGCTCATAGTTATTGGAGCATATATTAAAGATGTACATAATTAGAAAAATGATCATTATCTTAATCTAAAAAATTGTTTTTTCTAAGTAGACTTTACTTTGGGCACCCTTCTTAAAAATGAAAGCAAATTTGAAATAATTATGATGCTAATGCAGTTCTAGGGTGGTAAAAGAATTTCCATCCTAAACAAATTAACTTTCTTTTATATACTTATATGTATTTGCCAAGGCTTTTCACTCACACTAACTTGCTATCAAGTAGGCAGATAGAATAAGATATGACTTTGGTCATTGGAAAATAACTGTACCATAGAATGTCTGATGTAATCCCAAAATGTCAGAGTAAATAATTGTGAGTTACTGAAATGACCAAGTCAGCTTTGCAAAATTAGGAGAAGGAGGTCTCAGGCAAGTGAATGGAAATGTTTAAATTTTTTACTTTGGCATGATATGGGTCCCAATTATATAACTAAAGTTTATAACATCTCTATCTAAACAGAGATGAAAATGCCAATGGAACAATTCAGAAATTTCATGTTTATGACGTAGATGAAAAGCATGTGGTCTGGAGACCAGGCACCGTCTGTGTAGCTTCACCAGGCGCCTGAACTCTATCAGGATGTCAGCGCCAGCAGCACACAGGGAGGAATTTCCAGCGTGGTCATCATTCTGTTTGGTTTTGCTCTCTCATCTAGTACTGTGTTGAAGTTCTAAAGTTGACCCTTTAATTAACAAGAAGGTTAAGATTTTTTTTTAGTTCAGCCTCCCCTAGCACATTACTGGGTATGATGGGAGAGGGAATACTCTCACCATATTTGTTATATTAAGAACTCTCAGTTACCCAAGGCAAGTTTCTAATTCTGAGTTACCTCTATTCCACACCAGGGCCATTTGAAGCCAAACAGTGAAGAAGATGTAATAGGGTTCAGAATCCTCAAGACCTTACCTGATACTGCTAAAAATGTCCATTGCCAAGGGAGCTTCAGCCTTTCCCCCTTTCCCACTTGATCAATATCTACCTTTTCTATATTGGATTTCCTCAGGCCCTACTCAGTAGATACCACTCAGTAGTAGTCCAGCCTTGTCTTCACCAAGAAACGTCTATTGTGCCTGTTCAACAAATTAAATTTATTCAGAAATGATTTGTTTTTTTCCATTTAATCAGTGACACATTTAACTGCTGCTCAGAGTTCCCTGACTAATATGATATAAGAGATGCTAGCTACCTTGTGGATTTGATATAATTTCAGACAGAGGGCAATAAAAAAAGTCTGTCTATGAAGTTACATCTTGGCTAAATTTATAATTTCCATCCCATATTTTGAAGTTTTAAAAGTATTTTGAAGACTACCATTTATTTCAACATCATAAGTTGAAGATCATTGATTTTTTCATATAAATTATTTCTCCTAATGCATGTAATTCCCTCCTCTTGGGTAAGTTAGTATCTTCCTTTGATTAAAAATGCATAAAATTATTAGCACAAAAGAAACAGCACGTCCATTAAGAGTTATATTTGGGGTCCTTGGACAAGATCCTCTTCTCTGACTCTGGTCACGACCAGTCCTACCTGCCAACCACAGATACATGATAATTTAAGGTACCTATTTTGAGACAGATATTTTGACCCAGCCATTTGACAAACCATTATCGAATGATAACATGTACTTGATTGACTTAGATTACACATCCACAAAAATTTCAATTTGATAGCATAATTCACTTTAAAAGACTTGTCATCAGCTAAATATTTTTGTTATTTGATAATAAAACAAAAAATTTTGCATGTTTACTTCTGAAAACAGTTGTATTTGGTGATTTGTTTAAATAGTATTATAGCTTTGTGCTTGTATTTTGGTTTTTGTAAAAAGATTTTGATCTCTTTGGTTTTTTTGAAGTCAAAATTAAACTATATTTCTGTGGCCTAAAGACAATATTTCTATTTTTTCTTCATTTTGAAAGATTTGACAAATTAAGTAAGATGGCACTAATGACATTGAAAGTAGTATAAGACTGCTCAGCATTAAAATTAAACCATGGTGAATGTTGCTTTTCATATAAGACACCGTGAAAACATTTAGGCCAATTTCCATGGATCCCATCGGTATTAGCACTATTACTGTTTCTGCTTTATAATCAACTATACTCATGTATTTATTAAGTCTAGCCATTTCTAAATTTTTGAAATGCATATATATCTGTCCTTTACTACATATGCTCCTCTACCACCGAAAAAAAACAGAAACAAATAAAATCTTCAGCTCTTAAAAAAATCACCAGGTTAAGATTACAATAAAATCCCTTCTTCTAATCAAAGCAGCCACTCCAGAATGTCCTTCTTTGGTGAATCACCTTTACCCCCAACCCATTTATCTAGGCAGATGCATAGTCAGTAAATTCAGTCATTTGTTTAGGATTTATACTTCAGTACTTCCAAAGTAGGTTGGGGGCAGGTTACAAGTGTTATATAATTTTAAAATAGGACAGAACTGATAAAAACAGATCAGAGTAGATCTAAAGAAAATAAAGAGGACAGAGATTACAAGGTTTACCATATTGTTCCCCTAGCAACAACATCACAAAAGAAAATTTTAAAGTGAACCAATTTTGCTTCAAAAGAGGAGAGGGCAAGCAAATTTATTTTCAAATTAATTTTCAAGGAAGAATCTCAGGATTTTGAGTAAATTATGCTTGATGACAATTTGGCAAATACACTGAGACAGTATTCCAATGGATAATTCTCACATCCAAATCATCACACTATCTAATTGCTGCATGTTCAAGAAAAATAGACAACCCAATTTTTAAATGAATAAAAGAAAGAAAACAATTTAACATAAAGAAGCACTTACATTGGGGAAAATAATCTTACTCATTTCAAATCTAAAATTATATGCCTATTTATATATAGCAAAAGAGAAATCTGAAATTTAAAAAGCAAAACTCTTTAAAGACCTAAATATGTGTATTATCTGCATATTTTCATATCACATACAAATCAAGTTTTTGGCCAGGCATGGTGGCTCACACTTGTAATCCCAGCACTTTGGGAGGCCAAGGTGGAAGGATTGCTTGAGACCAGCCTGGGCAACATAGTGAGGCCCATCTCTAAAAAAAAAAATTGTTTTTTAATTGAAACAAAAATAGCTGGGTGTGGTGGCCCACACCTGTAGTCCCAGCTACTCAGGAGGCTGAGGTGGGAGGATAGCTTGAGCCCAGGAGGTTGAAGCTGCAATGAGCCATGGTCATGCTACCACATTCTGGTCTGGGTGAAAAAGCAAGACCCAGAATGAAAGGAAGAAAGGGAGAAAGGGAGAAACAGAGGAAGAGAGGAAGAGAGAAAGCAGGGAAGGAGAGAAGGAGGGAAGGAGAGAAGGAGGGAAGGAGGGAGGGAAGGAGGGAGGGAGGGAGGGAGGGAGGGAAGGAGGGAGGGAGGGAAGGAGAGAAGGAGGGAAGGAGGGAGGGAGGGAGGGAGGGAGGGAAGGAGGGAGGGAGGGAAGGAGGGAAGGAGGGAGGGAGGGAGGGAAGGAGGGAGGGAGGGAAGGAGGGAAGGAGAGAAGGAGGGAAGGAGGGAGGGAGGGAGGGAGGGAAGGAGGGAAGGAGGGAAGGAGGGAAGGAGAGAGGGAAGGAGGGAGGGAGGGAAGGAAGGAAGGAAGGTCAAGTTTTCACTGTAATTTATCTTCCTGCTGGTCTGCTCCAGCATTAGTCCTTGCCTCATGTGACCTCATTTTCTACTGTTTCATAGTTGAAAACATTAGCAAGTGCAAGACCAACTACTGCTTTGCATGTAAAGCCTTGTGGCACGGGAGTCAGGCATGGCCACATGAGAAGCTGAGCTCTGCCCAGAAACCTTGCGAGCCTTGCTATAGAAGGACAAGCATTCTCATCGGTTGTGTTCTAGCACATGACTCGCTGAAGGGGGTGTTCCCTTTCTAAATATAAAAGCTCTGCTGCTTCATACAAGACCTAGATGCAAAGAAATAAAAGGGCCATCAATCTCAATTTCTCTTAGTTATTTATTGCTAGCTTCTATCAGATATATTTTTTAAAATGCCAGTGAAAAGAGAGATCCTGAGGAAGGTACCTGGGGATAGATTCAGGGAATGGACTTTGAGACATGTTCAGACAGTTCTGAGAGGACTTGGCCATCTGGTTTGTTTTGCAGGCTGACTGAAATCTCCTGCATAACTTGAGGCCATCCGTACTCATGGTTTCTTCATGTAAAGTCATAAAATGAAATGAACTAAAGTTCAGAGATGAGCCAAAGACAGACAGACTCTGAGAGCTTTACCAAATAATTCACTTCTAAGGAATGCTGTCTAACTTGGATGCCATTCATGAGAAAAAGATTTTATTTCTAATTTGGCTTAAAGAGTCAGTTTGAAAAATTCGGCCGGGCGCAGTGGCTCACGCCTGTAATCCCAGCACTTTGGGAGGCCGAGGCGGGCGGATCATGAGGTCAGGAGATCGAGACCACGGTGAAACCCCGTCTCTACTAAAAATACAAAAAAATTAGCCGGGCGCAGTGGCGGGCGCCTGTAGTCCCAGCTACTCGGGAGGCTGAGGCAGGAGAATGGCGTGAACCCGGGAGGCGGAGCTTGCAGTGAGCGGAGATCGCGCCACTGCACTCCCGCCTGGGCGACAGAACGAGACTCCGTCTCAAAAAAAAAAAAAAAAAAAAAAAAAAAAAAAAAAAAAAAGAAAAGAAAAATTCTATTATCTCCACAGGAATTTCAAGTGGCTAATAAGAATTTAGTAGCCTGACTTTCAAATAGCCCAGTAAGCCTATACAGGCATTGATTTTAAGAATACACTTCTAGATAACTAATAGTTATCAAACTAGATTACAACACTGGCTTAATTTTCATCTGAGGGATAGAGAAAAAATCCCGCCACCTCGTGACTATATCATTAGAGCTGTGGGATATAGAGGAAAGGACGCTGGATAGAGGGTCAGAGGGCTGAGGTCTAACCTAGATTCTGCCACATGTCAGCAGTTTGAACATGAGAATTCAACTTCTCGGGGCCTCTGCTTTCTCATCTGTAGAATGAGGAGTGGAGCTGGATGATATGTTACCCAATTCTCAGATTAAAACAAAAATTATCCCACTTCTCTAAATGTCCTTGAATGGAAAATCCTACATTCATATTGGTGTGCTTATGTCTACAATAATAAATTATGTTTCTGAAGCTAGGATTCTCTTTCCCATGAGGAAGTCTTTAAAGCTCATGTTACCACCATTCCTTATTTTGAGTGTTAAACTAAGATCACAGAGGATTCAGGGTCTCTGACTTTCATCCTTCCAACAACGGATGGCTTCATAGTATGAATACTATACGTGACAGTAGCACTTTCATTTTTTAAAAGTATTTACATGTATTATTTAATTTGTATCTCACAGCTACCTAGTAAGGTAAATGGTAGATACTATTATTCCTATTTTGAACAGAAAAATTAAATGAGACTTAGAGAATTTCAGTCACTTGCCCCAGTACATAAGAATATTCACAATCAACCAAGGAATTGTTTATTAATATGGTCTCTGGAGCACAGTTCAACAACATGTACTAAAATGTAAAACATGCATAGCCTTTGACCAAGCAATTCCTTTTCCTTCTTTTTTTTTCTGTAGAAACAGGGTCTCCCTATTTTGCCCAGGCTGGTCACAAACTCCTGGCCTCAAGCAATTCTCCCTCACCAGCCTCCCCAAGTGCTGGAATTACAGGTATAAGCCTCTGTGCCCAGTCTGACTAAGCAATTCCAATTTTAAATATTTTAGACAAGTATACAAAGATGTATTCTCAAAGAAAATAATCACCACACTTTTTATAATAGGGAAAAAACAGAAGCAACCTATATATCCATGAATAGGAGACTAGGAAAATATATTAAAACACAGCCAGGCAGTGGATTAATATGCAGCGTTAAAAATTATAGCATAGGCTGGGCATGGTGGCCCACACCTGTAATCCCAGCACTTTAGGAGGCCAAGGTCGGCAGATTGCTTGAGCTCAGGAGTTTGAGACCAGCCTGGGCAACAAGGCAAAAGCCCATCTCTACAAAACATATAGAAAAATTAGCCAAGCATGGTGACCTGGGTGTGGTGGTGCATGCTTGTAGTCCCAGCTAGGAAGCTGAGGTGGGAGGATTGCTGGAGCCCCAGAGGTGAAGGCTGCAGTGAGCCGTGATTGCACCACTGGACTCCAGCCTGGGCAACAGAGCAATACCATGTCTCAAAAAAAAAAAAAAAAAAAAAAAAAAAATGTAAAGAAAAGAAAAAGAAAAAGAAAAATGATAGCATAGAGTTATAGTTGGTAAAGTAGAAATATGGCCACAACTTACCTTTGATTTGGAGAAAAGGGGTGGAGGAAGTAGGGTTAAGACATCAATCAGCACTATCCAATAGAATTCTATACAATTTGGAAATCTTTGCTGTCCAGTACAGTTGCCACTAACTACTATTAAAAGGTGGCTAGTGTGACTAAGAAATTGCATTTTTTTCAGTTTTATTTCATTATAATTTATTTAAATTTAAATAGCCACATGTAACTAGTGGCTACCATATTGGGCAATGCAGTCAACATAGATATTTTATGTGTTATTTTATAATAAAAAATATTAAATGTTTTGTTTAAACAACAACAAAAACAACCAACTTGTGTCTAGGAGACAACTAGAAGATACAGAAATAAATTAGTCAACGACAGCTTTATCTAAAAAGCTGCAATGCCTGCAATATTAGGCCCAAGTGCACATTTTATACACATAGTTTCTGTACTTTGGCATAACTATGCTAATTTGGCAAGTTTCCTAGATACTAGTCCACATACTAGGAAATAAATAGCTGTATACAAATAAAGCTATATCTTTTGTGCAAACTCTGCAGAACAGGCCAGAAAGAAAAATAAATGGAAGGAAGCAGAAAATGGGAACTGGAACATTGAAAGTAGGATCAGGTTTTTTAAAAAAGGATAATAAATTATTCAACTCACTAAGTGAATATGTAGTAATTAGGAAGCTCATGTTTTCTTCTTATGAGTTTTGATTATATCAAAATTACTGAAGCAACAAAATATCTTATTTTCTTGTATACCAGCCAGTATAAAATTTAGTCTTGATGAATCATGCAAACTAGCTAAAGGCTAATCTGACTTTCAGACCTGCACAAAGTAGGAGACATGTTTGTTTGTTCATAAGTATTTCCAAATTCCAATCCACTTGCAAATATAAAGCAATAGAGTAAACTAATTTTTTCCACTACCAGATATTAGATAGATAAAACATAATAATAAAGCCACTTTCCTCGTTTTGTTATTTTCAACATTTTACTATTATAAATGATATAGTAAACATATTCACATAGAAGGGATTTTTTCTATATTGGGATTTAAAGAAGCTTTCTTAAAGACCAAATTGGCCCAAATTGTAGCATTCTTAACAGTAAAACTATAACTAACCAAGGCCCTCAATTAATTCGATTCCTCCCTCCTTCTACTTTTTAGAAGGAAAAAAAGAAACCTCAAGAAAAGATATTGAAGCAAGGAGCAAACTTGCAGTATAAATCTCTTAATACATCCAAATCTGTTACTCTTACGTGAAAATGATATTATAACTGATGACTTCAAAAACTTCAGTATCATTAATCCTGAGAAAGCTTTAGGTATGTTCAGTACTATGCACTTGATTTTTGAAAGAGAAAGTATACTAATACACAATAAAAATATAGTACAATGGAGAGTCAAACTTATTTTTATCTCATTGTGTTAACTAAAAATTTCAAACAAAATATGCCCTGCCCCTTGCAGGCCTTGTTAAGTGAGGCTATATTTCCTATATTTCATTGTGTTTTAATGACCAAAACCAAATTATAGAAGAGTGTATTTTGATTGGTAGCATATATAAGTTGCCACAAATCAATCCCTCTCCCTCTCCCTCTCTCTCTCTCTCTCTCACACACACACACATCCCAGCTCACCCTACCACAGTCACAAAATCAGCAAGCAGTATTTGGATTGGGATAGAATCATAATCAGAACTACTAACATTTCATGTAGCATCAGAAATTTCAAAATTCTTCTAAAGAATGATCTTGATTTTTACAACAATCTTCAGAGGTGAATATTTACAGCTAAGGAAATTCAGGTTCATAGAAATTACTAAATTGCCTGGTGTCCAACTTCTAGTAAGTAGCAGAAACAGGAGCAGAACTAGGCCTGCCATCTCCAAATCCTGGGGGCTTTCCACTCTGCCTCACTCCTGGAACCAGCCAGCAGGCAAGAAGGAGGCACGAGGGTAGGCATGACAACTGACTATCACTAATTTGAAGAACTCCCATTCCAGCCATTAAAAGCTGGCTGACACTAAAGAGGCATCAAGCTTTTATTGCTCTCAGTGTGCTTCTGAAATCTCTGAGGCAGTTTGAACTAAATTAACCACTATCAAGAAAAGGGGCCAGGACATCTCAATATGCCCTATAAATTCTGGAAGACAGCCCCAATCTAGTTTCAAGAATACCTTCCACTATTTTAGCAGTTACTACCTACTTGCTTGGAATCTAATTTGTTCTACTTAAATTAGATTATCAGTCCTCAGGCCATATGACTCAAAGTAAAAACTGGCAGTTGATTGGCAGGGCCTCTTTCTGAAGCATTTCCCTTCCCTCTTTATGGGACCAGAGCTGTCTTCTCCATCAAAAAATCTTTTCTAAGAAAGTATTTATTCTTTTCCTTTTTCTTTTTTTTTTTTTTTTTTTTGAGATGGAGTCTAGCTCCATTGCCCAGGCTGGAGTGCAGTGGCACTATCTTGGCTCACTGCAACCTCTGCCTCCTGGGTTCAAGCGATTCTCCTGCCTCAGCCTCCTGAGTGGCTGGGATTAGAGGCGTGCACCTCCATGCCTGCCTAATTTTTTGTTTGTTTGTTTTGTATTTTTAGAAAAGACAGGATTTTACCACATTGGCAAGGCTGGTCTCAAACTCCTGATCTCAAGTAATACACTCACCTCGGCCTCCCAAAGTGCTGGGGTTACAGGCATGAGTCACTGCACCAGCCTGGTATTTATTCTTGATGTAAATGGAAGTGAATGCATTACTTCTCCCAATGACATTAATTTTTAATGCCTAACTTCTAATTATAGAAAGCCTTTGTAGAGGGTAAAGGAAATTCGGACATTGTAGAGCAGACTGGAGAGTTAATTTGTCAGGGTGATGATCTCTCCTGCAATCTCATCTTCTACCTGGGAATGAGAGCTTCCCCAAAGTTGCTGATGCTCATGTATGTGAGGAAACCTAATGCAAACAAGAATCCAGGTATCTATCTTTTACTAAACATTGTAGAATCAAGATTGTAGAATCAAGTATGCATTGCTAATATCTCCCTTTAGAATAATATCTCCCTTGTAGAATCAAGATTGTAGAATTAAGTATGCATTGCTAATATCTCCCTTACTCTCTCAGGATCTTTCCATTTTGAAATCAGGAAAAAAGTAAACTGAAAAAGCAATATGATATAGTATACTACAGGTATTAACTTGGAGTCCCCCATGAATGGGTTTCAAAGGGTCTCTTGATATAGTATGCAAAATATTACTGGCACATGTGTGCAATGTCTTGAGAAGACAGTTTATAGTTTTCATCATATTCTCAAAAAATTACCAATCTAAAAAGGTTAACACACACTTTAGGATTAGAAAGACCTAGTTTTTATTCCTAGCTCTACCACTTTGTAGTTGTGTGATTTTAGGCAAGTAAATTACCCTCTTTGTACCTCAGGTCCCACACTAGAGGGCCAGATATTATTTTAAAGATTAACTGAGATAATTCATGTGCTTTGAGGAAAACAAAGCATAAAGGATAGGTAGCTCACTCGAATTATTACTAGAAGAGTAAAGGACTTGAGAAATTTTAAGAGGAAGAAAGGGTCCTCACCCAGATGCAGAAAGAATAGATTGGGGATCAAGGCCACAAACTTGGCAACAAATTTACAGTTTGCTTAGGGTGTACTTGGTTATTGTCACGAAATGTTAGGGTTAGAAGGTACTCTGTAGTTCCCTCCGCTTACAGTGATGAAGCTGAGACCCAGGAAAGGGAGGCATTGCCACGTTATAAAGTTAGTAATAAGATGTGGATGCCAGATTTTGGTTCTAGTCCAGGCAATTGAGAACAAAGAGAAGCTGCCACTGAAGTATTGTTATCCAACTACAAATGAAAATCACTCAACTTTACCTCATTTATAGATGTTTTTCCTTCCCTGAAAAAGGACCTTTGGTCCGGGGCATCATTAATCAAAATGTCCAGTGCATTTCATTTCTAGTTCTTCCCATTTGCTGTCCTTACCACAGAAAAAGCAATGTGCATGGGTAGATTTGTAACTGATTTAAATATGTCGGTGTACTTGTTTTAACCTTTGAAACCAAGACTCCCACTGTAGGAGCTGTTAGAGAGAAGGCCATGAGTGAGCACATCCTCTCATTTGGACAGATAATGGATGTAAATGAATGATTAAGTTGCCAACTAGTCCAAGATGGAGGGAGATGCATAATTCTACTTTCTCTCAAACATGATTATGTGATACACTGATAATTTTGAAGAGTTGAATTAATAAAAGACTTTCAAAGGGTTTCAAAATTTAACTTGACCCAAACTTTAGGTCGTATTAACTAGAGTCTGCTATCTTTGAAGAAACTTAATTAAGGTTACCCAACATCTCATTCTTATTGTTTAAAAATGTCAAATTTTGCTCTGGGTTAATTCCAGGAAAATTCTGCTTTTTTGGCCGAGTCCTAACTCCAAAGCTTCTATGAACAATTACACTAATTTTTAAATACTTGTGAATGAAATGTCCTTGGGAAGTTATGGTTATTTTTAGTACGCCAATGCCACTTAGAAAGAACAGAAGGAAAATTTAAAATCATAACACGAGGATTCAGTCAATTAGTTGACCAAAATAGAATTTGCAATTTTATACAAAAAAGTAGGAGAAACTGCCCTTAAAAAGCTCTTAGCTTTGTTTGAGGAAACTAGAAAACAACATATGAAAAAAGCAAATGAGAATGCAAGGTAGTAAACACTGGTGCTAAATTATGTATCAAGAGACAAGGTGCTCTCAGAGCAGTGCAGGCTGAGTGTGCATGAAGTTTTTTAAGTAGAGAGACGAGTTGTTTGCTAGGCCTTGAATCACTGGTTTTAAGTCAAATATGGCTGAGAATAGTTGTAAATATGGAATTCATACTGTGATGCCTAGCTGGGGTCATAACATGAGGAGAGGAAAACATAATTATCTTAAATAGTTTCATTTCAGAATAAGAATTTTTTGCTATCTTTGGGTAACAAATCTATAAAAAATCAATAAAAGACCACAAACAAATAATTTAAGTGTGATGAGTAAAAAAATACCACATTTGCTTTTTAAAATAAAAGTAGAAACCATAAAATTCTATCAAATAAATACATTGTCTTTATAAAGCCTTGTGCTTTAAGTGTCAATAAACTTGTTCTGGAAACCTGCAACACATTCATGGAATTGCATTTTTAAAGATGTACTGAATTTTAAAGTAACTACATTAAACAGTTATAAAATATTTATACTTTTGATCCCGTAACAGACAAAAAAAATAGTTGCTTGTAGATCTATAGGAAATCTAAGCCTAATAATCTTGAAAATTAAAAAAAAAAACAGATGTCTACTAGCTCTAAGAAAACTTATCATTTTCTAACAATCTATTCTTACATGTCTATAACTTAATCTATGATAGTAAAAATAAATTTTTTTTTGAAATACAGATATCTCAGGTTTATAACTACTAAGAAGAGATACATGCAGATCACAAGAAGCAGAAAGGAGAAAAATGAAAAGGAAACCTTGTATCCTACATATACAAAATGACATCTTCTGTATTAATCCATACAAAGTTTAGATTCATTTTTATTTACCTAGCTCGTTACTCATTATAAAAGAGCATAATCCAACAGATTATGGGATAACTACCAGAATTAACACATTTATATAGAATTGAGCACATCAAGTCCATATGGTATTTAACAAATAGTTTTTGCCATTATAATGAGGTAACTGTGTACCCACTTATACAAATCCTACATTTGTCTATACAAAATATTGCACAGAAAATTCAAATAAGCTAAAATACACCATCTTTGAATCTCTTCTTATGGTAATGACATCAAGTTATCAACCAACATAATTTACCTTTAAATATTCTTTGATGCATTATATATAAAATTGCCAATAGAACTTTTGAGGTGAGGCTTTCTCCCTCAAATCATTCCTAAATACAAAATGTCCAGCACGCCCAGGAATCTGATTCACACCCTCAGATTTCCAGTATAGGTATGAGAGCTAGCTTTCCCTAAGGAAGATCTGCCAATTATTTAAAGTCTGTTAGTTTGTATGTATTTAATCAACAAAATAAAGGAAACAAATTGTATGCTAATTGTCTCTGGATTTCAAAGTCATACAAATGTATCAACAAAAATAGGTACTTATGGAATAGAAAAAAAAACAGCTGGAGTAGTAATATCTCAAATTGAATGCTGTGTCTATGATTATGTTATGACAGACACCATATGAAAATAAGGGGAGAACTGGCAGGGCACAGTGGCTCACGCCTGTAATCCTAGCATTTTGGGAGGCCAAAGCAGGCAGATCACTTGAGGTCAGGGGTTCAAGACCAGCCTGGCCAACATGGCAAAACCCCGTCTCTACTAAAAATACAAAAAAAAATTAGCTGGGCATGGTGTCACATGCCTGTAGTCCCAGCTACTCAGGAGGCTGAGGCAGGAGAATTGGTAGAACCAGGGAGGCAGAGGTTGCAGTGAGCCAAGATTGCATCATTGCACTCCAGCCTGGGCAACAGAGTGAGACTCCATCTCAAAAAAAGAGAAAAGAACCGGAAACCCACAAAAGGATTAACCAGCTTAGCTGGCAAGATGGTTTAACCAAGCAGATGACATTTTAGCTATCATTCAGAGTACGTACAGCAATTTTTCCAGGCAGAGAAGTTTGGGGTAAAGAATAAGGTAATTTCCCAGACAGAGAAGAAACCATATTCCAAGGTATGAATTTCTGAATGAGCATGGCTTGTTACAGATGCAGGAAGGAAAATGTCGAGAGAAGGAACAACAGGCCAGCTGGTCTAGATTTTCAAGGAACTTAGAGGCCATGCCCAAGCATTTGGACTGTGGGAGGACAGATAGAAGCTAACAGAAGTAAACACTGCACTTAAATGTATTATGAAACAGCATTTTATTCCTAGTTACTTCCAAGATAGGAGCATAGATACATACATAAGAGGTAGTCTCCTATGTGGTATTACTCGAAGGACTCAAGAATCACCCTTAGTGACAATCTCTCTCCTCATCATGCCTGACTCTCACTATTACAGAAATAGATTCCATTTTCCCTTTGCAGAGGTAAATGTTGAAGATGCAGCTGTTGTTAATACTACTGCTTGAATTACTTTATAGAGGCTTTTAATAGAAATTACATTTTTGGAAAAGAGGAAAAAATGCAAGAAGCACACTGAAGACCTTCTTCATAATTTGCCAAAGGCCAGTTTGTCAGACTTCTGAACTCATTCTCCAGTAGACCTTATAATTATTCCCTCTTTCTTGAGAGAACAGCAGATCACTTCCCATATTGAATTTCACATATTCCTTCTCCATTTAATGATATATTTGGCAAATCTTCCTTATTCAAATAATGAAGAAAAATGGTGCATTAAAGTATCACAGAACAATAGAAGCAGCTTATACCAGAAAGCCAACTGATAACAGCCACATTGTTAAAGTGGACAGAGAAGAGATTTCTATTCAGTTCCTTTTTATTCTATTCACATTTATACAAAGAAAAAACAACCCTCAGCCCTAATACCAAGTGACAAGAGACATATAAGTTCAGTTTGAGCGTGACGAGAGCAAATTAAACTAAGAAAACCAATTGCCTCTAACTCCTCTGCTTGCTCTCTGGTCTGATGAACTTTTTCTTGCTTCCCACTTCCACCACCCAAGCCCAGCTACTCTGCATCACTTACTCAACAGCCTCATAACTGTCTCACATCTCTCCCCTTTCCAGACTAACCTGAACACACTTGCAAAATCACCCTAAGACACAGTTTTGTTTTTTTACCACATTATTGCTTTATTTGTGGGTGTCTTTATGACTACCTTAATCAAGACCAGACTTCTCTGAGCCATTTTAAATTTTTGTGGTCTTTCATAATGTGTTTCCACCAGGCTCAATAATATGTATATACCTCCCATCATGCCTTGGCTCCAGACAAGAAAAGAACCATTCTGTCTTTCATATCCAAAACACCTTTGCCTATACAAAGATGTTTGTGTCTCTCATGACGATGTAAAATAGCCACATAAGGCCCTGCAGGTGGTACACTGACAACTTCAACAGGTGTCTTTCATATGTAACCCGAAAAACCATAGATGGGCAGCATAAGATAGTACATTTAAAGTATATAGGCAAGTATCTGGCATGTACTTACTCCCTTCCTTCCCTTTGCGTATACTGACTTTATGAAGTTACTTGAAAAACTGAAGAAGTTCAAACAAATCATGTGGAAGCCCTCGCTCCTGAGGGGAAAAAAAAGTGTATTTAAATCCTTGGCTGTCTGTTTGGAAGGAAAGGGAGAATGAATGGAACAAGCAAGATGTATCCAAAAGCCCTCTGCTCTGAAGCATCTCCTTCCAGGTGTTGTCAGCTTTGGCTATGCAATGGAATCACCTGGGGAGTCTTTAAAAGACTGATGTCTGGGTCCAAACCCAGATTCTGACATGACTGCTCTGGAACATGGCCTGGGCAATGAGTTGTGTGGGGTTTTTTTGTTTTTTTGTTTTTTTTTTGTTTTGTTTTGTTTTGAGATGGAGTCTTACTCTGCTGCCCAGGCTGGAGTGCAGTGGTGTGATCTCAGCTCACTGCAACCTCCATCTCTCAAGTTCAAGCAATTCTCTGCCTCAGCCTCCTGAGTAGCTGGGATTATAGGCGCCCACCACCACGCCCAGCAAATTTTTGTATTTTTAGTAGAAACAGGATTTCACCATCTTGGCCAGGCTGGTCTTGAACTCCTGACTTTGTGATCCACCTGCCTCGGCCGCCCAAAGTACTGGGATTACAGGCGTGAGACACCACGCCTGGCCGGACAATGGGTTTTTTAAAGCTTCCCAGGAGATTCTACTGTGCAGCCAAGGGTGAGAACCATGGTCTCTAACACATGCCATAGCTTGAAATCAATTGATTTGTTAACATTTATCATTAAAGATGTTCATTTCTTGTTCCACTCACCTCCATGTTAGGATACTAGTCATTCACATCTTACTTCCTTTTCACTTTAATTCTATTACGTTTCCCCTCTTTTGAGATGTAAAATTTTGAAGACAGCAGAGTGGGCAAGGTAGCAGCATAGGTACCTTATTCAAGGTAGCTATGACAACCCTACTCAAAGGGACCCCAGGACTTCATCTATGTCCCCATTTCAAATCACTCACATTCCTACTTATGATGAATTAAAATACACACAGGTTGGATCTTCTTAATAAAATAAGCCCCCCACCCTCATATCCGTTCCTCTTAACTGTCTAATGTAAGAAAACCAGAATTTTTTTTTTTTTTTAAGAGACGGGATCTTGCTATGTTGCTCAGGCTGGAGTGCAGGGGCTATTCACAGGCGTGATCCCACTACTGATCAGCATGGGAGTTTTGACCTGCTCCATTTCCAGCCTGGTTCAGTTCACCCCTTCTTAGGCAACCAGATGGTCTTCTGCTTCCAGGAGGTCACCATATTGATGCCAAACTTGGTGTGGACATCAGATTGGCAGAGAGCACTACTGCCCAGGACTCCTGGACTCAAGCAATCCTCCTGCCTCAGCCTCCCCAGTAGCTGGTACTACAGGCACATGCCTCTGTACCTAGCCGGAACTATTATGCTTTATAGCCACTCAAATTTCTCACATCTGTACAAGGGTATGAAGCCAGTGCACCAAAATAGAAAGAATATTAGACTTGAGGCTCAAAATACATGGTTTGACTCCCAAGTTGATCACTTAACCTTTTGAGACTCAGTCTCCTCATTTCTAACAGAGGGTGATTGTGAGGATTAAATAAGATACTATAAGTAAGACTCCTAGTATATATTAGATACTCTATGAATGCAATTGAAATGAAAACTCTCAAGGCAAGGAAAGAGTTAACTCATATCCTACCTCTGGTGGATGCCCCTAAAAATATCTAATCCTGTGAGACCACAAAAACAGATAGCTATTGTTGTTCAGTGAGAGCTCATGGTGACATTATTAAACAAACATCTTTAAAAAACCCCAATAACACTTCTCTAATCAAAGTAATGCCAGTTTCTTTAGATTTTTCTCAAAATCCTTTTATGAAATGTATTACTTTCTCTAAACTGTTTTCATTATTTCTTTCAAATTGTAAAACCTGTATTAATCTTCAGTTTCCATGCTACTTTTGCTAATGAAAAATTACACAGCTATACAATCTGTTAGACTGAGCCACCTTGACAAATAATGCTCTCATTCTGAGCTCTAAATACATTAGTGCATGTGGCTAAGGTTCATGTATAGCCAAAGATCTTCTGCGATAATGTGCCAGGAACCACCAACATTAATTTTTCTATATCTTAATCAAGAGTGTTCATAAGTAGTCCAAAACAGGTGCTAGGTCTGAGGCTTATATCATCTCCCCAAATCATGATGAAAATACATCAATCATTCAACAATCAAAAAAGGATTTATTTAGCACTTAGCCTGTTTTCCAGCATTGGATGGGGAAGAGAGAGAGAGATAATTATTCAACAATTAATTGAGATAGACTTTTTCCCACATAATTGGGTCTTCTAAATATCTAAAATTAGCCATTCAAACATCAGACATCCTTCTTATTTCAACCATTTTTATTAGTTGATGATACCAAATAGTCTTACACAATCTTAGCACTAATTGTAGAAAAAGCATTTCCACTAATAACCACCATAATGAAACCACACTCTCTATACACTTGACCACTAGTATCCAACTTCCCTAAGAAGACACCCTAAGGAAAATGTACAGTCAGTCATTCAGACTACTATAACAAAACACCTTAGACTGGGTAATTTATAAACACTAGAAATTTATTTCTCATGGTTTGGAGGCTGGAAAGTCTAGGATCAAAGCACCAGCAGATTCTGTGTCTGGTGAGAGCTTACTCTCTGCTTCCAATATGGCACCTTGTTGCTGCCGTAGCTCCCTGTAACCTTTCTTTATGAGGTCACTAATTTCATTCATGAGGGTAGAGCCCTTATTATTTAATCAGATCCTAAAGACCCCACCTCTTAATACTATCACATTGGCAATTAAGTTTCAACATACGAATTTTGAGATCATAGCACCCATCCACCAAAAAAAGGATTACAGCCATAAATCTGGGCTTTGGGAAAATAATAAATGTTACCATCCTCATACCCATCAACAAATACATCAACCTCATCTTCCAATTTTCAGAGATTTGGGATATGCTTTTGGGGTTGCTGATTTGATGGGTATTTCGTGTAAATTTTAATCCCATATAAGAATTAAAACAATAATGTTACACAAACAGCACCAGATTACATTTCCTTGCATAATATGTTCCAAAATTAAAGTATATATCAAAGATCTTGAAGAAAGTTGGGAATGGCCTAAAGCAGTCACTATCAAACTGTTATGGCGTTGATTCAAAAAAATACATTTTTACACCATGACCAAGAACTTGGTTTTAATTAAATCAAGTTTTTTTTTTTAATACTTTAAGTTCTAGGGTACATGTGCACAATGTGCAGGTTTGTTACATATGTATATGTTCGCCATGTTGGTGTGCTGCACCCGTTAACTGGTCATTTACACTAGGTATATCTCCTAATGCTATCCCTCCCCACTCCCCCCACCCCATGACAGGCCCCAGTGTGTGATGTTCCCCACCCTGTGTCCAAGTGTTCTCATTGTTCAGTTCCCACCTATGAGTCCATCAATAATAGACTGGATTAAGAAAATGTGGCACATATACACCATGGAATACTATGCAGCCATAAAAAAGGATGAATTCATGTCCTTTGTAGGGACATGGATGAAGCTGGAAACCGTCATTCTGAGCAAACTATCGCAAGGACAGAAAACCAAATTTTACAACATAGCACTTATCATTATTCATGAAATCCTTTTCTAATTCATTGTTTAGCTCTTTATTTCACTAAACTGATTTCACAACCTGCTAAATGGGTTAAGATCTATTTGTTGAAAAATAGTGATCTAAAGGGCAAAAATGAAAATAACTACTCTTCGCAGAAAAGAAAGATATTTTGTCTTCAATCTTAAACCAGGGCTTATTATATTTAAGATGTGCTGGAAACCACTCAAAGATGGTATAAATTGAATGCTTCGGGCTTTAACACACAGTCAAGTTAACATTAAGATCAGAATCCACCGAGCCAGTAACTTTTAATGTCAGAAGTTTAGTTCCACTCAGAGTTCCTTCCCCTTATCAAGAATTTATGAGAATCCAAGGGCATGTTTTAGATATGCCCATGAATCAACCCTGGCTGTTGCTCACTGTCACGACTATGGACCCTAGACACCACAGTTGTCACCTTGGTGGCACCACTGCCATCTGAGGTAGCCTTACTAGTTATGCTCCAGTAGTGGGAGAAAGAGAATAATCCTTCCCTTTTGCACCTGCTGAACAAGGGGAAAGTTGGCTTCAGCCACTGGGGAGGTCCTCCAAGTCACAACCATAGCCCTTTCCCCTCATTAGTTATCCACACTGCCCTGGTGCCAGCCCAGGTTCCAGGCCTGGGAACATACTGTACCACAACTCACCATCCCCTTTCCTCCCCACACTGGGGCAGACTCCTTGTCCCATGGTGACAGAGAATCCTCTCCTAGGAGCCCCATTATCCTTGGACTTCCAACATCTTCTGTCCATAAGGTCCATCTGATGGTGCCAAATCCCAGCTGTGGAGAGGATTCAATCCTTTTTCCCAGTAGGCCCTCCAGACCCCATGTGATCACTGGGTATGTGCATTAACTTCAGATGTCCCAGACATCTCAGTCTGGGTACAGCCCAGTCAGAACATCTTGTAAACAGAGTCTCTGTTGACTACTCTAACTTTGAGAGTCATGTCACAATCAATCAAAGATACAGACCCAAATCTCATGTGGAGGTGGCTTAGGACAGAATCTACCTAATGTGGGTTTTGGGGGAGCTGATTCCAGAAAGCCACTTCAAGGCTTCTGTCTGTTATCCAGCCATATCATTTAGCCTATGCTAGCTAGCCTACACCTTGCCTCTTTCCTGCTATCACGTTTCCAGGAAAACAAATAATATTCTCCCTGAGAAGACTGTTAATCAGGAAGCAGAGATACCTACTTTGCCTTTTTAGCAACCAAATACATTCACCCAAACCAGAGGTCTCAGTTAAAATCAAAACCTTTAAAGGTTCTTGATCTGGTTTTCCTGTACAGCACAGCTTCTGAATCCAAAGAAGGCGGAGAGATTCTAAATTTGGTTCAGCTGGTTTCTCATACTTCTTACTGAAGAATATCTGGAAGCTAAGAAGCAAAATATGTAGGTTTCATTTTCAGTTTTAAAAATGATGCAAAAAAGTACTCAGTATAATATATTTCATTGTTTCCAATTTTCAATCTCTGCTTTTATTCACTCTCAAGAATAATCACTCCCCCATGGGAACTTTATAACAGTTGTCTGTAGTTCATTCTGGAGGTAAAATTTCCCCTAAGAACTTGGAAATAAGGGAGATAAGAGTGGTCTCTGGGAAACAGACTTTAGGATCAACACAATGACCAGAAGATAAAATCACTTTTAAAGAAAAAGAGTGTCTCTGGGTTTAGAAGACCTGAGAGTATGCTTATTAACCGAAATCATTACCAAAGAAGGAGTACAACAAAAAGGGGGATGTGAGAGGGGCCAGGCACAACCATTTACAGAAGAAGAACAGACTTTCCTGGGCAGACTCCCCAGACAAGATCCCCCAGATTTCTGAACCACTCACAGACCCTTCCTAGTGGGAGAGCAATGCCCCAAACATATTGGGCCTTGATTCATCCAATGCCTTTGTCCTAATTCAATCCTCATTGAGCAGCCTTCCTTATGTGACTTGCTGTGCAAGCCTGTCTATGGGGAAAGAAGGCACTGACCACATAGGCTTGGACTCACCTATACAACAACAGGTGTGAATTGAGTCCTAAGTGCCTGGCCCTGTCCTAGACAACAGACATACAATAGAAAACTTGACAGCTCAGGTCCTTAGGGAAAACACAAACAAGCAAATAAATAAATAACTGCAGCTAGTGATAAGAACCATTAAAAAAATAATAAAGGCCACGCCTGTAATGCCAGCACTTTGGAAGGCAGAGGCTAGAAGATCGCTTGAGCCCAAGAGTTCAAGACCAGCCTGGGCAACATGGTGAAATCCCATCTCTACTACACAAAATACAAACATTAGCTGGGCATAGTGGCATGCACTTGTAGTCTCAGCTACTTGGGAGGCTGAGGCAGGAGCATCTCTTGAGCCTGAGGGTCAAAGGTTGCAGTGAGCCCAGATTGCGCCACTGCACTCCAGTCTGGGTGACGGAGTGAGACCCTGTCTCAAATAATGATAATAATAATAATAAAGCTAGGTGATGGACTAGATAATGGCTGGGTGGCAGGGGTTTTAAGAAGAGGGATCAGGAATGGCTTATTTGAAAAAAGGACATTTAATTAAAGAGCTGAGACAGAGCCTACCCTAAGCATTTTTCAAAAGCATTTTCCAACTACGTTTTTTAAAAAGTTATGTATTGACATGATGGTAGAGAAGAGCATGATGAAAAGACTTAGAACCAGCAGTGTGAAAGGGAGTATGAAGTGTGTAGACAAGTTAGGTAATGAGTAGCTTCTTTTTTTGTGCTTGCCCCTCATCAAACACAGCACAGACCCTACTTCCTCACTGCCAATCCCTGCCCAACCCTCTCCCAGGCTTGCATCTCCAGATATTAAACATGACTGTCCCTCTGGCTGATAGCTTGGTGAGGATCCAGAATCTGCCATGTAACAATGGGGAAAGAGAGCTTCTCCGCAGAAGGAACAGGAAAAGCTGTCAGACAAGAACAAACCCAATGCTTCTTTGGAACTTACAGTGAATCTGGAGCTTTATGAACAAGGAGAAAAGTACAGGAGCCAGGATCAGAGGAACAGCCAAGAGCAGAGTCACAGGAAAAAGCTTTAGTTTTATTGTAAGTCCAATAGGAAGCAAGGAAGTGACATGACCTCATTTACATATTTATTACTTTAGTTTTTTGAGACAGAGTCTCACTTTGTCACCCAGGATGTAGTGCAGTGGAGCATCAGCAGCCTCAATTTCCCAGGCTCAGGTGATTCTCTCATCTCAGCCTCCAGAGAAGCTGGGATTACAGGTGCACACCACCATGCCTACTAATTTTTGTATTTTTAGTAGAGACAGGGTTTCACCATGCTGCCCAGTCTGGTCTCAAACTCCTGGGCTCAAGCAATCTGCCCATCTCTGCCTCCCAAAGTGCTAGGATCATAGTCTTGAGTCACCATGCTTGTTTACGTATTTAAAAGATCCCATTGGCTACTGGGTGGAGAATAAACTGCAAGGCTAAAGGTAAAAGAAGCAGCAAGATTAGTTAGAAAGTTCTAAAAGTAGCCTAGGCAAGCAGTGATGTGGCTTGACTAGGATGGCAGCAGTAGTGTTGGAGAGAAGAGAGTAACTTTAGGGCATATTTTGGAGATGGATTCCCAGGACTTGTTGATAGACATGTATGTGGAGTGGAGAGTCATGCTTTGGCTTAACAGAGTAGTGACGTTTACTGAAACTGGTAAGATTGGGAGAGGATTAACAGCTCTTTGATGGGCTTGAGATGCCCACTAGAGACACAAGTGGAGATTAAGTTAGGCAGCTGGGGCTCCTGGGAAAACACTGAGATGAACATATAAATTAGGCAATTATCTGTGCCTAGATGATCTTCAAAGCCATGGGCATTCCCAGCCTTGAGATGGTTATTTTTCACTGTAAATTAATAAATTGGGTAACTTATCAAGGTAGTAGGAGCCAAGTTAAGATGCCCCATCACAGCTGGCCATCCCCAGTCTGGGCCTGCCCATCTGCTTTGCCAAAGGCCTCAGTTGAGAGCTGCTTCTACAAGGTTGTTTTGTTGTGTTTCCACATATAAAACTCTGTGCCCAAGTTCCCGTTTATTCTTATGATCAACGTGGAAATCAGAAAAAGTGATATTTATTTAAAATATTTTTGAAAAAATGCATGACAGTGCTTATTTGGTGGAATAAAGAAATATTATACGAATAAAAGAGAAACTTAACTAAGTAGATTAAGCGATATAACCAAACACTTGTGTAGACCTTTTTTGAGGCCACATGCAGTAACCAGAGCTCCTTGACTTTGAACTCAATGTGGAAAGGCTCTATTGGTTAAGTAACCTAATGAAACTAGTACCCCGAAAAGTCATGATAGACATCCTAGGATAAAATGAACATAGGACAATTTATATTTATCCCCTTAATAGTTATTGACTGAGTAACTACTATGTAATTACTGTGTTGACTTCATGCCCTCCTGGGGCTCCTTTCTCAGCAGGGGAGACAGACCACACTAAGGGATGGAGCTGATGGAGGTGGGTGTGAAATACCTTTTGACCAAGGTAAGAACGTGATAGGCAGTTCCAATGAGAAAAATACATACAACCCTAGAGTTGGTTTCTCAAACACTAAATATAACCCTATGTTAATTGTACAAAAACTTTACATTCTTATTTGGAACTAAAATTTAAATTTTCACTTCCAAGTTGTTAATGTAATTCAATAAAGTTAATTGACTCATTAATGTTTTTAATAGCCCTTAACAACACATTTTTTTTACTGAGACTTCTAAAGATATTTCCCTTTATTGTCCCCACCTTTTCTATGTAAGTCTGAAAGATTCCAGAAAGCAGTAGTTGACTTTCCTTATAAACCTAACCCCCTATCTACTTATGGGAGCTACATGTAAGGGTAGCCTTGGAGGGGACAGAGAAGGGAAGGGGGCAAAGCAGAGCCTCCAAATTTCTATTTCACTTTAACCTCAAGGAGTTGGAGACCTGCTATTCTGATTATACAAACCATGTTTCACAGACTGAGTCAAATCACTCCCTGCTGCAACAGCAGAAAGATGGCTGGGGTTTGCATTCTGTTGAAGCTAATTCCTAGCCATCTCTCTGTTGCCTTTTTGTACTTTTTTCCCTAATAACCTGTAGAAATCAGACACTAGACCTGCTCAACCTGGGAGAAGCCCAGTCACCTTTAAGATTCTGGCTCTTTTGTTCTCTCCCCCGACCACACTCATTTGAACACTTTCTGTAATGGGGCAGCTGGGCTCTGGATCTGCTGAACCAGCCTGAGAAGGCTGAGCCTGCTCTGCTCTAGGCTCTATGCTTCATTTTAAGTGCTCATCTTTCCCACTCAGGCTGATGGCTGCATCCTGTAAACCATTTAAGTGTTAAGATCCAAGAATGTTTGACCTTTCATTTCAGATTATTTAGGATGAACCAGTTTAGGTAAAGGAAGTTTCCTTAGTGTTACTTCTAATTGACTAGAAATTTACCATGGGGTTTGTGGCCAGTGCCCTGATTGGTTATAAACCTGTCTTGCTCTGCAGGTCACTGACCTGAGTGTGTATTTCCCTCAAGGACCTGGGAGAGAGGAGTGACTATGGCAGGGCGAGGTTCACCTTATCTTGAAGTCCCTAGGCCAAAAACGCTATTAGTAGTACTCTTTACTAGCAACTCCATTTCATTATCACCAACAGTCAGGCTTTTAAAGGGCTTCTGAGTCCACAGACTTTTTTTTTAAATGTCTGAACTTTAGATGAGTTGTCATAAAATCACCTTTGTTCTACATGAAGCATTGTGCCTGGATGAAACAACTCATTGTAAAAGAACATTGCCCTTCCCTACTATGTCAGAATTCATTGTTTGCCACAAAGGCAGCATCAGCTTCAACTGAAGATAACAGTCACATACAAATACTCACAATCACAGCTGCATTTGATATTTTACCTATAAGAGTCTTTTATTAAACCCTTTGTAAGAGTTTTTAAATACTTTTATTCTGTGTAACTTATTTTGATAACACTGCACAAAAATACCCCTCCCTTTCCCCATTTCTCTGCACTATCACCAAAGGCCAGTTGTATTCTAGATAATCAGCACATGTAGTAAAATCAGAGAAGAATTAATTATTTCCATGTTTATCTCTAAAGATAATGGTTTGAAACCTGGTACTGTGCTTTTCTTCCTGGACAATTCCTCACTGGAAATTACAGAACACAGTCTCTAGGTGCCACAGCCTTTTGAAAACTTCTATCCTGAGAGGATCACAGACCTTGCCTTACCTTTAGTTGAACTAGATGTACATCCACATGCTTGCTGTCCGAATCCTGCTGGACTGAATAGGTTAGGTCTCGGACCCTCTCTGAGGTCATCCGGAGCCAGGTCTCAATTTCAGGTAAGTGGAGGACAATCTTCCAGTCAGCCCCTGTGTGTAGTGGGGGTGGCTTTTCATACTGCTGGTCAGAGTCCATGTCCTTCATTGCCTCTTCTCCCTCACCCTGCTCCACAGTGGGTGTCATGTTGATGGCCATGGGTGAAGCATCAGTAGCCATGGGATCCAGGTCCTGTGACCTCAGGGGGGAAAGTGTCACGCTCATGGTTAACATGGAGAAGTCTAAACCTCACTTCTTTCCAAAACAGCTGAAAGGCAAGAGGAAAGAAGAAAGCAAGAGTCAGTCAAGATTGCCAAATAAAGAAATGATACTTCACAGAAGAAACAGGATTTCTAAATTAAGCCAGATTTCTAAATTAAGAAACCATAGCTCATAACAAAAACAGAAAGAGGTGTTTTGATTTTCTACATGGTAGCCCCAAGAGCCAGGAAATAATATGAACATAAAACCACTGTGATATTGACTACTCTCCCCCCACCGCCCCCATCTATTCTTCCCTTATTTCTTAGTAACAAAATCCTGGTTTTTAGCTGTTCATATTCCTGCACAGAATTTAAAACTACATTCCCTATCTCCCTTGCAGCTAGGTGTGGCCATGTTCTGGCCAATGAGTGGAATTGTTGTGTTGAAATTCTGGGAGAGCTGCTTACAGGGAGCTGACTCAATTAGGAGGGGCTCCCTTTATGCCCTTCTACTTTCCTCCCCTTCTTCCAGGCTGTAATGTGGACTTGATGGCTAGAGCAGCTGGCAACTCAGACCCAGAGAGGCCTTTGCGTATGACGGGTAGAGGACGGTGGAGCATGAGGGTAGAAACACGGGTTCCACTTGATACCGGAGGAGCTACCGTACCAGGTCTGATTGCTGCTCTGTACTTCTTTTATGTGAGAAAAAACCAAACTTCTATCTTGTTCAAGCCAGGATTATTTTGGGCTTTTCTACTAGAAATATTCAAACATCATTTTGACTATAAAATCAACATATTCAATACGTGGGACAGCTACGTGGGAAGATGTTCTAATCACAAAAAACACTGAGCTGAATTCAGGAGATGTTGCTCCTTTCTATGATTTGTTAGTTAAATAATAACCTGTGACAATCCCAAATCTTTACTTTCCTAGAAAGTATAAATCATGGATTGTACTGAATAGATCTAATTAACTCTCAATCTAAATTACATTAATATTTGGTTATATGGAATTTTTAGAGGCTTCTGGAATTTTAGGGGTAATAAATTGGTCTGAAATACATAAACAGTAAAATATTAACCAAATAAGTTAAAATAACATAAGTGTAATTCATCAAAAAGTAAGGTGGCATTTTAAGATGAATTTAATTAGTTTAATTATCCAGCTATTAAATTTATCTTTCTTCTGGAACGAGTCTAGTATAAAATATCAACTTTTAGGCTCTTATACTTTAAAATAAATAAGCACTATTTTTAGTCTCAAGAGCAGCTTCTTCTACTCAAGGCAATGAATTTATTTTTCTTTTATACTTTTTTTTCGGGTTCTACAAATTCAAGTTAGTTTATATTGTTATTTCCCCAAAGATGAAAGGTGACTGACCTAAAGATCAGAAATTAAATGTGATTGTCAAAAAGTGGTTCATATTTGTACAGTAACAAATATTCAGCAAAAAAAAAGAAAAGCAAAATTATTTTTACATACCAAAATAGAGGGGAAACTTTTTAAAATGCTTCCAATTTGACTAGAAACATGTATCTTTCCATACAGGAATGAGGAGTGGAAATAAAAAAGACTTGTTGAGTTGACAAAAGCCTTAAGACTAAGTTACTCCTATGACATATTTTTTCAGAATCTTTCCAATACTGCAGTGTAATCCTTTTCCCTAATTTCTCAGGCATCTAACTTTTGAATTCAATGGTGAGGAGAAGGCCAGACGTGGTGGCTCACGCCTGTAATCCCAACACTTTGGGAGGCCGAGGCAGGCAGATCACCTGAGGTCAGGAGTTCGAGGCCTGCCTAGCCAACATGGTGAAACCCTGTCTCTACTAAAAATACCAAAAATTAGCCGGGTGTAGTGGCAGGCACCTGTAATCCCAGCTACTCAGGAGGCTGAGACAGAAGAATGGCTTGAACCCGGGAGGGGGAGGTTGCAGTGAGCTGAGCCGAGATTGCACCATTGCACTCTAGCCTGGGCAACAAGAGTGAAACTACGTCTCAAAAAATAAAAAATAAAAAAGAGAATTACAGATAAATTTTTAAAACAAAGTTATTTGCAAAAAGCAAAATATATGTTATAAAGTAGGTTTATCACTTTGATACCTGCCTTAGAGAATGGCTTCAGGCTTCAATTCAACAGCCTTCGCCACCTGAATGCAAAAGGCAGAAATCCATACCCCACACTTTTTTTCTTTCCCATGAATATAAGGCAGATACCCCATATTTTTAACCATGCTTGCATTCAGTTTTACAAGTAATAATAATACTAGACCCAGCTATTAAAACAAAAAACAATCAGAAGATAACAAAATTTCACTGAGAGGGATAAAACTCCAGGAAGAGTGAGCTACCATACCACTTCTTCATAAACCATACCCCAGCCTCAGGCTGATTCCAATTTCTCCAATTTTTTTTTTTTTGAGATGGAGTCTCACTCTGTTGCCCAGGCTGGAGTGCAGTGGTGCCATCTCAGCTCACTGCAAGCTCTGCCTCCCGGGTTCACGCCATTCTCCTGCCTCAACCCCCCAGGTAGCTGGGTCTACAGGTGCCTGCCACTATGCCTGGCTAATTGTACTTTTTTTAGTAGAGACAGGGTTTCACTGTGTTATCCAGGATGGTCTCCATCTCCTGACCTCGTGATCCGCCCACCTCGGCCTCCCAAAGTGCTGGGATTACAGGCATGAGCCACCGCACCCAGCCCCAAATTTTTAATATTTAAAAAAAATTATTAATCGACCCACTGCCCTCTGGGGGTAAGTTTAGAATCACAATGCTATAGAAGGAATCTGATACATAAAGGTTAATAAGGTTTCTAGGTCAAGAACTTAGAACTGGTTATAAATGAAGACACTGGTGTCACAGTGGTTCCCTCTTCTAAGAAGCCAGAGTCACTGAAACTAGAAAACTGAATGCTGAGCCAGGGCAGCATACAATGAACTGTTTAAGCTACACTGACACATACACACTCACCGCAAAACCCTGCCCCAAAGCCCTGCACAACTGAAAAAACAGTGCTTAGTCACCGTGTTTTCTCTGAAACTCCTAAGTCAAGGCAGGGCCTTCTTGGGAATACACATCCTACCGTAAACTAAAAAACACACTAAAGAATTAGCTTATGTCCCAACCTGCAACATTTCCATATATACCATCAGTCCACGCACTAAGCACACTGCAGTTTTATATGATTTGGGGCAAAATCCTCCATACATTTCTTGGCCTCAGTTTCTTCATCTGTAAAATGACAAAACGGAACTAGATAGTCAATAGGATCCCATTTGCCCTAAGAATCTGTGATTGCCTAGGGTTATTTATCCAGAGATTTCAAAGCTGTTGGAAGTTTCCTGCCTATCTTGAGAGCTGTGTAGCTACTAAATGATGGTTCTCCATTTTGTCAAAGCCTACAAGTATTATTGATAGATGTGTCCTACTTAATGAAAAGGAATAAATTACTATCATGAAAACAGCGTTTTGTAAGTCATTATTTACACGTTTTGTGTTGTTAATTCTTCCCAGAGGAACAAACATGGGAGATTCTCCCCTCTAGAAGTTTGCCACTTAAGACTGACAAAACAGATGTGGTTATATATGTAGAAGACAAACCAGAATAAAATAAAAATATGAAACAAAAGCATAGCTGGAGAGGAGAAGATGTGCATCCTATATGAGTCAAGTACAAAGAAATCTTACATTCAAGCTGCCAAAGCAAAATTTTCCTGTAACTATAAAACTTCTAACTAGATGCTATGTTTCCACATTCAACTGATCAGACTACACACAAGAGAATTTCTATAACCCATAGAGATAAAACAAAGCGTGCTTTACTCAAGTTTCATTTCAACTTCTATTTACTTTCCTTCACATATACCTTTGCCACTAGGAAAAGAATGGTATATGTGTCATTAAGCACAGCAAGCCTGGGTAGTAGCATAAAATGGATTAATTGCCCATTTTCATGAAAAGCAATTACTACAAACATTTTTCAATTTTTAGTAGTTCACATTTAAATGTAGCATATATGGATGGTCATACTCTTTTTCTGATTTTAACAAAATCACATCTGATTTTAAAGATAAATTATAATTTTTTAAAAATGCTTCAAATTGTAGAAACGTATAGTAACAGTCTTTGTGAATATTTTTCTTGTTCTTATCAGGACTATTCAAGTTTCTTTCCCATCAAACTAATTACTCCATTTGAATGCAAACAGAAAGCAGGAAATTGAGCATGAGTCTATATCTGTAAATAATATAAGATTTGAATTCTTGTTTACAAGTCATCTTGAGATAAGATTCCTTTCTAGTCACAGAGACATTTTTTTAAAAGCTTAGACTACAAGTTCTGATGGTGAAAATAAAAAAATTTGATCAAGTGCACACAGGTGCCTACCGAGTTACAACTCTGGCTCCAAGACGGTGTGAAAGGAGTGATCAGACAGCTTTTTGGAACCCAGTGACCTCTCATCTCCCTCCCCCTAATCAAATGCTTGTCTGCGGCCACCTTTCCAGCATTAGCGATAATACCACCTTTATCCCAGCTGCTGTTAAAAATAACATCCATCAAATCCCTTCCTTTACACAAATCCAAAGAAGAGGCAATAATTAAAGTGCAATAGCTGAAAGCAGTAATGATTTTAAGGCTTTTTTTTAAATTATAAAAGGGTTTTTCCACCTTATTCTATTTATCATCCTATAGAAACATGCCATGGATGGCTTACTAACAAGGACTGTTTCTGCGATCTCATGTCCACAAGTTTTGGGTTGGAGCTTGACGCTAGCAGAATGCATTCAACTTGAATAAACAAACACATTTAAATCAGAAAAGTTCATTCGACCAAATCAGGAGACAAAAAAGTTCAGCTACATCGCCATCAAAGCTTCCCACCTCTCTCTCCTTTCTTTTACAATTTTCTCTCTTAAATAAAAGAACAGAAAAGCCGGGTATCTTGCCTATTGTACTCACTGTAAATGGTTTTTTCCCTAACGGCCCTTCAGGATTAATCATTTGGCTCCTCCTCTCCCCGGTGTTTCTCTTCTTGTGGCCAAACAATATGAAGGCCAGTGTCGGGGCTGCACCATGCTGGCAGGACACTGGTGCCAGTATAGAGTACCAGCTTCATACTCTCTTGGTGGCCTAAATCTCTTGTGCAGAGAGGGCTGCTATGCAGTCCCTATTTGGAAGCTAATGTATAAGCTCCAGGATTGTGCAGTCATAGGCAGACCTTTTGCAAACAAGCAGTGATGAGTGGACCGAGAAAAAGGAGACAGTTGCCAAAACAAGGATCACTATGGAAAAGAGTCTTTGGGTGGACAGAGCGCTTCCAGTCATGGTTCAGAAGAATCAAGACTTTACTCTCAAAAACCCCAGCAATCTTAAAGCAGGATAAATTAATAGTACTGTGTTAACATGACTAGCTGACAAAGCCAACTTCAGCCAAATAGATTCCTGCTCTGTCTCAGCAAGAAACTGTTCTTTCCATGTAAGAGCATTATCATGAGTACAGTTTGAGAGGCAGTCTTTTCATCATGTAAATCAACTCTAAGCCTAAATTCTTATTCTCAGTCTTTCTGTGCCCTGCTTATCCTGAAAATATAAGCAAGTGATTAAAGCATAATTCTAGTCAAATTAACAGATGTGCTTGCTACATAGCACTTATTACAGAACAGAGGTAGAAAAAATTATATTAAGCATCACATAAGTTTCCTTTTTCTCCCACTTCATTTCTTCTCTTACATTTTTATAACCACTCTTCATAGAACCTATTCATATGGACACTGAATTTAGAAATAAAAAAATCCTCTGGCCTGTTTCAATTTTTGTCTAAGGTTAGCTCTCATGATTTGATTGCATTAAGGAGAAAGAAACTCCAGAGGTGTACCCTGTATATGATTCCAGGATACCAGATTGGGCTTTGCAAAGAAAACACAAAAACAAATTTAATAAATTGGTTAATTAAATGCCACTGCCTAGCCAGATGAATGAGGATCTAGTTCGTCACTTAGTTTTAAATCTTGCTGCCTGCCTACCTCCCAGGCCTTTTGTTGGGTCAAGAGCTGGGAAACTTTAAATGGCTTTCAGCTCTTAAATAGAAGAGGCAAAGAGTTGCTGCCAAGTATTAAGTTAAATCTGTACTTAGGGAAAAAGTTAAAGTGGCTTCTGTAAGATGCTCCTAAGGAAATGTCCATAATTGCTGCCTGATGCCTTCTCCTCCTTTGCTCTCTTTCCCTGCCCACCCCAATGCCCTCCAGCACTCACGCAGAGTAACACTGTTTAGTGAGATCACTGCAGTAGCCCCAGATTAATCTCACTTTCTAATCCTCTTGCAATAACAGGCCAGCCTACAAGTGGATGTCAGTGAGGAGAAGGACTGCAAGTGCCCCAGGGGGGAAACAGCACGTCAATAGGGGAGCCCAAACAGATTTCCATAATTTAAAAGATCTCGGTGTTATCACTGGTGTTTCTCTCTCTCCTTTCCCCTCTTGAATATTTCCTTTTGTACAGCTGTGCCCCTCGGCAGATGGGTGATTACATTCTGCTAATCACTTAGAGACCACGCACCATCTCCTGGGTCTTTCCTCAAATACCCGCTAACTCCCTTGCCCAGAACACAGTCTGCTGTCAACCATAACACACTTAATCAATCATCTTCTCCCCTCAAACCTTCCTCCTACCCCTCTCCCCAATTATTCAGATCTTCCCATGGCAGGGATATCCAGATTGACTCAGATAGTCATCATGCCTCCTGTATTTTCTTTCCTCCTCTACAGCAGTCATTTCCTGTCACAGAGAGATTCATTTGACTGCTTCAGGCAGGCAGCCGCAGTGGCACCCACGGTCATCAATATGTGGACCTGGACTCAGTGAACACTAATGAGCATTCATACTTCTCACCCTCATCCCAAGTTGCTAAAAATCACCTTTAAGCATTAGGCAGTCACCTTTCTATTGTTCAAGAAATTGTCATGACAGAGACTGGATTTGTAAAACTTTAATATATAATTTGTACAGTTGTTGCCTTTGTCAATGCTATTAAGGTAAAGGAAATGAAACAAGATTCATTTCAAATCAACTGACATTTAGTGGTTAGAATTTAAATCAACGGACATTACTGAAAATCAACTATATAAAAGGTATTCTATGTATATGTGACTCTTCATATTCACCCTCAAGGAAATTATAACTTTATAGAAACAATCTCTTTCTCACACCTCTGTCTCTCCTCTCCCCCTCTCTCCCTAACCCAAACACATACTCACACCTACTGCACCAACAGGCTATGCTCAAATACATGAAGGGCAAAAACAAACAAACAAAAGCCCAGTAAGGCCCCAGGGGTGTCATTAATCCTGAGTAAAGGAAAGATAAGTGCGAACCTTTACTAGAGAAGGTAACATTTCAGATGGCTTATAAAAATGGGTCTGGGATTCCCTACTTAATAAATGGTGCTGGGATAACTGGCTAGCCATATGCAGAAGATCAAAACTGGACCCTTCCTAACACCATATTCAAAAATTAACTCAAGATGAATTAAAGACTTAAATGTAAAACCTAAAACTATAAAAACCCTGGAGACAACCTAGGCAATACTATTCAGGACATAGGCATGGGCAAAGATTTCATGATGAAGACACCAAAAGCAATTGCAACAATAGCAAAAATTGACAAATGGGATCCAATTAAACTGAACAACATCTGCACAGCAAAAGAAACTATTAACAGAGTAAATGGACAGCCTACTGAATGGGAGAAAATTTTTGCAAACTATGCATCTAACAAAGGTCTACTATCCAGCATCTATAAGAAACTTAAACAAACTTACAAGAGAAAAACAACCCCATTAAAAATGAGCAAAGGATATGAACAGCTTCCTTCCTTCCTTCCTTCCTCTCCTTCATTCCTCTCCTTCCTTCCTTCCCTCCTTCCCTCCTTTCTCTTTCTCTCTTTCTTTCTTTCCTCTGTTGCCCTGGCTGGGATGCAGTGGCACAATCTCAGCTCACTGCACCTCTTCCTCCTGGGTTCACATGATCCTCCCACCTCAGCCTCTCAAGTAGCTATGACCACAGGCACACACCACCACACCTGTCTAATTTTTGTGATTTTTGGAGAGACAGGGTGTCACCATGTTGCCCAGGCTGGTCTCAAACTCCTAGCTATTGGCCCACCTTGACTTCCCAAAGTGCTGGAATTATAGGCACAAGCCACCGCATCCAGCCAATGAACAGACACTTTTCAAAAGAAGGTATACATGTGGCCAACAATCATATGAAAAAAAGCTCAACATCACTGATCATTAGAGAAATGCAAATCAAAAACAAAATGAGACACCATCTGACACCAGTCAGAATGGCTATTATTAAAACGTCAAAAAAAATAACAGATGCTGGTGAGGTTGTGGAGAAAAAGGAACACTTATACACTGTTGGTGGGAGTGTAAATTACTTCAGCCATAGAGGAAGTCAATGTGGTGATTCCTCAAAGACCTAATGACAGAAATACTATTTGACCCAGCAATCCTATACCCAAAAGAATATAATTCATTCTATTATAAAGACACATACATGCATATGTTCATTGCAGCACTATTCACAATAGCAAAGACATGGAATCAACCTAAATGCCCATCAATGATAGACTGGATAAAGAAAATGAGGTACATATATACCATGGAGTACTATGCAGCCATAGAAAAGAATAAGATCATGTCCTTTGCAGGGACGTGGATGGAGCTGGAGGTCATTATCCTTAACAAATTAACACATGAACAGAAAACCAAATACTGCATGTTCTCACTTATAAGTGGGAGCTAAATGATGAGGACACATGGACACACTGAGATGAACAATATACACTGGGGCCTTTCAGAGGGTAGAGAGTAGGGGGAGGGAGAGTATCAGGAAAAATAACTAATGGATACTAGGCTTAATACATGGGTGATGAAATAATCTGTACAACAAACCCCAATGACACAAATTTTCCTATATAACAGACCTGCACTTGTACCCCTGAACTTAAAATAAAAGTTAAAAATAAACAAAACAAATTTTTTTTTAAAGAGAAAAAGGGTCTTATTTAAATAAGCAGAGATGGAAGGGAGGTGAAGGAATTCTAGGCTGGGGAAACTGCATGGATAAAGATACGTCAACACCAAGAAGCTGGGAGAATCAGCAGATAATTGAGTGTTGAAGGGAACAGGAAGCTTGATGGGGCCAAGAAACAGATTAAGCTACAAGGTAAGTTGCTGCCATATTATAAGAGGGATGAGAATGCCATGTTATGGAGTTTGGAATAAATCTTTCAGGGAGCAAGAATTCTAAAAAGATTGTCAAAAAAGAATAATTCAATTACAGTTGTATCCTAGAATGGTACAGGAAAGTCAATACATGCACTCTTACTTACCAAGAAAATGAAATAAGAAATCAGCATTATGAGAGGATCAACATCCACTTTTCCAAGCAAAGACTTTATTAACACAAAGTGTAACCTTAAAAACCTCTTCCTAGCCCAGAAAGAAAAGATAGAGAAAGAGAATGAATACAAGTTTGACTTTTGGATCAAAATGATTAAAAGAGTTCTGCACTCTGTCCTACCTACTCCATTAAATATAAAAAGAATTCTCCATTTTTAGTTATCCATTAACCCTACTCACAATCTTAGCATTATAGATTTGAAGTGGAAAAATTTTAAGGATCATTTCATGCAATGTTTCTACTTTTTTTCTTGTTCTAAAATTATTTCTAAATTAATTAAAGAGTAATATATAAATATTAGTTAAAACGTTGTAAAAATAGGCAAGATTGAAGATAAAAGATCCCTCTTTAGCCCCACATTCCCCACAGTCAACAAGCGATAAGTAGCTATTTATATGTTGTGACCTCAATATGTAAAGTAGGAAGAAAATCAGCCCTAAGAGAAGGGTCATCTTGAAAGATTCTGAAGTCTGAATTAGTTACCTGTATTACAATTCAGCAATATAGAAGTATTTGCTAATTTAGCATTTACCAGGTGTTAATAAGTATTCTACAAAAAAGTTGTTAATAAAAATAAGTTATGGCTAGGCATGGTGGCTCATGCCTGTAATCCCAGCACTTCAGGAGATGAAGGTGGGGGATCAATTAAGCCCAGGAGTTCAAGACCAGCCTGGAAAACATAATAAAACCCCATCTCCACACACACACACAAAAATACAAAAACTTAGCCAGGCGTGGTGGCATGTACCCGTAGTCCCAGATACCAGGGAGGCTGAGGTGGGAGGATCATCTGATCCCAAGAGGTCAAGGCTGCAGTGAACTGTGATCTCACCACTGTATTCCAGCCTGGGTGACAAAGTGAGACCCTATCTCAAAAAACAAACACACAAAAAATTAATTGGGAGAGGCCTGGGCAATTTCTGATTAAAGATGGCCAACTGAATACACAGACCTAATTTTTCTCCTTCCAGAAACCCTACTAACACTACTGAAAAAAGTTTTTTGTTAAATATAACCACTCAAGAATAGGAAGAAAAACAGTATTTTGGAAGCCAGAAATTAGATGAATAAATGATAAATGACTTAACCAACTCACAAAAACTAAATCTTAAGACAGCAGTACAGAGAACAAAGAACCAACCTGATTTTTACTTCAGAATCCTTAAAGTATTTTGAAATTGATGGAACCAGGTACCTCTGGAAGTAGAGATGGAGGGGTGTGTAGGGAAGAATTACCTTTATCTAAAGAAAAGTTGGGCCTTTGCCCCAGCTCCCAGGAGCTGGCATTTCCCAAGTGTTAGGAATATCTGAGTTAATTATGATGGGCCCCTTAGACTATACCTGATAAGTGTATGCTAATAAGGTGACTCAGAATGAGGGCTGGCCAGACAGAAGGACCAACCATGTGGTCAAAGGGTTGAGGCTTTGGGCAACCATGTGGGTGGTGATTCAATCAATCATGCCTATGTAATGAAGCCCCAATAAAAACTATGGACATTGAAGCTTAGACAAGCTTCCCAAATTGGTGGTATTCCATGTGCATTGTCACACATCAACAACAGAAGGGTAATACATCCCTGAGGGCCTGGAAGATTTCTCCCAGCCCCAGATTCTTCCCTACATGTTCCTTCCTGTGGCTGGCTCTTATTTGTATCCTTTTGCTACAATAAAACTGTAATGATAAGTAATAGCACTTTCCTGAGTTCTATGAGTTGTTCTAGTGTATTATCAAATCTGAGAGAGTCTGTGTGAACTCTCAACTTTATAGCCAGTTGGTCTGAAGTGAGGATGGCCCTGGGGACCCCCAAATTTGCAACTGGCATCAGAAATCTTGGGCAGAACTGTTAGTCTTGGAGGTCTGTGCCCTTAACCTCAAGCTTGGCCTAACTCCAGATAAAGAGACAATCATATGTTAAGAAGATTAATCTTGATTTTTAAAAATGTTTAAAAATCAGCTAGAACTATAGGTCTCTCCTTACTCTGTGTTGCTGGGTAGTTGCTTCCACCCCCAGTTCAGACAGAAGACTGGAGGTTTATTACCTAGAAAGAATGAATCACAGGGTCTCTGGACTGGCAGATGCCATGCATAGTTGAGGAGTATTCTGAAAACAGGAGGATTCAATTAATGCAGACATTCTGAATGTTGAGATCCCCAGCCCTCTTCCCTGATTTGGCTCCTCATACACTGGGAGCAATTCCTTAACCCTCCAGTCGAGAGACTAGAGGTTCCCTCTCTAGGAGATCTGATCAGTCCAAGAAGACAAGATACTGAAATTGGCACATCCAGATTACCCTACAGTGACATTCAGTCAACAGGCCCACCTACACATTCAGAGCATCCAATCAGCTTTCTAGTCTTTTACTCCTAAATATGAGCGGGCAGTCAAGGATTAGCAGAGATTTAGGGAAAGCTCCAATTTGTATAACAGAGTCACAGCAAGCAACAAAAATCTCAACCTGGAGGAAACACACCATCCATGGAAAATATGATTTCGGTAAAAAAGAAAGATTATCAGAGATAAGATATTATATCCATAAAATAAGAAAAAGATGCTATATTTCAAAAGAAATATTTGCGGAACAAAAAAAGGACTCTGGGAAAATAAAAGTATGTATAATAGCAAAAATGAAAATCACAATATAATAGCTAAAAATAAAGTTGAGGAAATCTCACAGAATGTAAAGTAAAAAGGTAAATAGATATAAATTAGGAGAGATAATTAGTGACTATTGCAGGAGGTCCAACTTCTAGAGGAAAGGAGTTCCTGAAGGCAAGAGGAAAGAGAAAGGAGGAATCGTCAATGAAATCTTTCAAGAAAATGAAGGACATGAGTTGCCAAATTTAAAAGACCTGCCTAGTGCACTAAAAATAGACACACACCAAAGTCACATTATTTGAAACCTCAGAAGATGCAGGGAAGTAAGCTTTGGGGTGGAAGTAGAGGCATATACAAAGGATGATAAATCAGATTGATTTGGATTTCTCAACAGCAACATTAAAAGCCAGAAGACAATTTGTTTTACATAAGAAAGAAAAATAATTCTAACCTAGAATTTCATACCAAGAATAATATAGACTAATAATCAATGAGAGGGTAGAATAAAGGTATTTTCAGACACACAAACACACACACACACACACACACACACAAATCAATCTCCTGCACACTTTTCTTAAAAGATACCAGAGGCTATGCTCTGCCAAAACAAAGGAGTAAAGCAAGAAAGAAGTAGGCACAGGATGAAGCAACAGGAGGCCCACCTCCCCAGAGTGAAGAGGAAGGGAAATCCCAAAAGGGCGGCGGTATACTAGGCAAGAAGGGCTTCCAGTCCAGACTACAACAGGTCAGAAGGCTCCTGTCAAGACTGCTTCAAACAGATGATGTTGAGAGAAAATCTGATGTAAATGAACATACTCAGAAGAGATTTACCCAACTAGTAGAGAATTGGGGGTTGAACTGGAGATAAACACATAGAAAACTAAGCACACAATAATAATTATAAATTCCAGAGAGAAACCAAAAGTTGTTGGAAAAATAGAACAAAAATCATATTCCTCTTTGTGATATAGCTACCAACTGCACTTAAATAGTGTTAATAATTTAAACACTAAATGCTGCAATAACCCAAAATCATGACATAGTTTTATAGGAAGAAAGGAGGGATGGGAATTGTGTGCATGTGCAAGTGCATACCTATGAGAAAGTGAGAGAAAGAGAGAGACAGGGTAGGGGAATGAGCTACATAAATTCTCATCTTTTACAGTGAGAGGTAAATAGATAAAGCTAAGGAAAAAAAATACTCAGGGAGTAGCCATACCATCCTATTGTTTCAAGATAGAGGTAGTTACCAAAAGTATCAGCTAAAAGATGAAAAGTGTTGCCTCTGGAGAATGGGAAATGGAAAAGAAGAGAGGCTGGAGACTGTTGTGTATGTTAAGAAACCTCAGAATTATATGATTTAACTATTTGTATGCAAACATAAAGCTTAAAAAATACCTAGATTAAAAAATGAAAGAACTTCTTTATTACAGGACAGGGTTTTAACACTCTCAGGTACATTGAGCATTTCCAAATGGAGGATAAGGAGATAGAGTGCATTAGTTCCAAAATCTACTTTACTATGAAAATCATTATTTTTTGTTTTTTTTCTTTTGTTTTTGTTTTTGTTTTTGTTTTTGTAGAGAATGTCATAAGACTGGGTGGGGTACAACTTGGTTGATATTAAATTTAAAATGCTAAAATTTCAAAATTGTGTCTATCCACTCCTAAAACATTGTATTTTTTTTTAATACAAAATGCTCACTGTGACTCAAATCAATAATGAGGTTGCATTTGCTTCATTCAATCCCTTCAAGAAAGAACTGCTTCCTGTGAAATAAGCCTGATCTCAGGATGAAAACCACAGGTGATTAAGTGATCAAGTTGAAAGTAAGGTTATTTCAGTATCTGCCCCATGAGTAGATATATTGTGGAGTGAATAACTTTTATTTTTTAAGACAATTGAATCAGGCTGAGATATCAAATAATACGTTAAGCCACATCTGTCAGCTAATATTACATTTGTTTTTGCTGTTCATACTGCAACATGAGAACACATCAAATAACTACTCACACTGCTGTTCTTTCATAAACAGAAGACATTTCATGGGTGATGAACTTTCATAAAGAGCACGATTTTCAAAAGCATTATTCCTATTCACTATTATTTCCTACTCACTATAGACTCCCAGACATGTAAAAAGAGTTTGCCTTAGAAGACTCTGATGTCAGATTTTAAAATACTAACAAGAGATAGCAAGGGCTGTTAATATCCAGAGATTTGATGTGATCAGAGATCCTCCCTCTGAATATTCTTTATTACAGAAAGAATAATAAAGGTCTTCTACTATGTCGGCTTTTCAAAGAAACAATTTCAGCAAGGTAGAACCTATTATTTCAAATATTTTCTAATGGTTTTGCTTAAAATGCATCAATTTCATTACAGTCAAGCATTTCAGCTTAATTAGCCACCTAAATTGAAGGTGAATGCTTGATAAAGTATGAATTGCTTCAAGATGAATTGGTATTTTGAAAAATAATCCCTAGAACAAGTAATTTAAGTTACATATCATAGATAAATAATTTGTTACATAAAATGCGTATTTTCTAGTGGAAACTAGACAGTACGAGCTTATAAATATTTTTGTTCTGTTTAAGCTGGTAGATAATAAAAGCATGGGACACAAACCAGCTCAATACAAATTCACCTTCAATCAATTTGTCTCTTTTTAAATAATTATTTATTATCTTGCTCAATGAAATAAATAGCAACAATGAGAACCGCTGAGTAAGAGCTAATGACTGAAATGCCTCTAAAAAGAATCCAGTAGGTCCTTCATCAACCCTAGAAAATTAGTTATAGATTAAATATTACCAGATACTTTGCCAACTCTTCCATCCAGCAAAGACAGAAACAAGATTTTTTTTAAAATTTAGGTGTGTCTCTAAGTCACAGGAATATAAGGGACGGAATGCTGAACATTATAATAGGTCAACCCATATTCTCTCCCCTCTGCCATGAGAGTGCTAAGGCCTAAGATAAAGCAAAGACCCATCAGCCATTTGCTTTTATTACTTACCACTAACCAAAGTCTAGCTGTGATGTGTTAGGAAGGAAGCAGCAGTTTCTAAGCAGGGTCATGATTTCTGAGCCTTTCACTTTTTGCCCTCCTTTGCCCTCTTGGATAAAACTTTAACATCCCAGCACTTGAGCAGCTGGCTGCCATCCAAGAGTGATTCAGACGTTTGGAAGGTAATTGTCCCCTATGCTTTTTAATTTTTCATTCTTTCTCTTTGTTAGCAATAGTTTCTCATAATTGACATGACACTCAGAAACAACTGGTCCTTTTCAATAGCCTCTAGAAATCATCTATTTATAATTTTCCAGTTAATGCTTCACAATCATCTCATGACATTGCTACTGTTGGTCTTACTTAGTCATTTGCAGCCAAACGCAAATGAATCTCAGACAAATTCTGCTTGTCATAACTCTATTCATTGTGCTCTTTGGCCTAATCTTATCATTGTTAATAGTTCCGTATGATTCAGACACTGATTTGGATACTCGAGGTCCTCTGACTGAGTTTCCTAAACAAGAAATGATACTTCACATGCCTGAAAATGAATAATCTAGAATATTTCATTAACATTCAGCTGACCAGTTTTAAATAAGAGCAGTTGGGATTGCATTCAATTAAACTGGAGTCTATAAGGTAAGAGTTTTATTTATTCTTTTAATTTTTTAAAATACAAAAAAAAGCCTGAAGAATATGACTTTTCTCTGTGTCAAATGTGCAAAATAACATAAAAATTTTAAAGAAAAACTTAGATTTATAAGAAGGCAGAGGAGTATATCGGCCTGACAGTTTTTACACTACAGTTAAGCAGAATAAAAGGTATTTATTGAGCCTCTCACTTTGTTTAGTACTCCCTTGCTGAGCTCTGGCTAACAAGCAAGTCAACATTTTTTGTCCCTCCACCCTCCAGAAATTTCAAGTCCAGGAAAGAAAGAACTGGCAGCTTCCTTGTGTATTTACTCCTCAACTGAATTTTACAGAGAAATACGTGGAGAAAAACTGATCTTGAACCCAAAGAAGTCTCTGTACTTTTAAACTGAGATTCTCAGTCTATATGTATATTTTTTTAAAGTATCTGCCTATCGTTTCATAGGGATCGCATAACAAGATTTATATTTAACCCTGTTAAAATATGACAAGATTTATATATATTTAAATATAACAAGGCTTATAACAGGATCTCTGTGTTCAGGCAAGGTTACTACAAGATTTAGAATATTTCTCTTTATGAGGACAGAACTTTTAAAAATAGCATCTTGGATTCAGACTGTGAAGCAGTCACTTGAACTAAATAATATCGTTTTTTATTATTCAAAAAGTAATCAAGGTAATCCCAGCACTTTGGGAGGTGAGGCGGGCAGATCATTTGAAAACAGGAGCTCGAGACCAGCCTAGCAAACACAGTCAAACTCCACCTCTACTAAAAATACAAAAAATTATCTGGTTGCAGTGGCACATGCCTTTAATCCCAGTTACTCGAGATGCTGAGGCATGAGAGTCGGTTGAACCCAGGAGGCGGAAGTTGCAGTGAGCCAAGATCACACCACAGTCCAGAACACCAGCCTGGGTGACAGCAAGACTCTGTCTTAAAACAAAACAGAAAGAAGTAATCAAGAAAAAATACACTTTGTGAGACTGAGGCGGGCAGATCATTTGAGGTCAGGAGTTGGAGTCCAGCCTGGCCAACATGGTGAAACCCCATCTCTACTAAAAATACAAAAATTAGCCAGGCATGGTGGTGGGCACCTGTAATCTCAGCTACTCGAGAGGCTGAGGCAGGAGAATCACTTGAACCCGGGAGGCAGAGGTTGCAGTGAGCCAAGATTGCATCACTGCACTCCAGCCTGGGCGACAGAAAAGAGATTCCATCTCAAAAAAGGAAAAAGAATAAATAGACAAATTGGACTTTATGAAAGTTTTAAAATTTTGTGCATCAAAAGACCATATCAACAAAATAAAAAGACAGCCTGTAGAATGGGAAAGAATATTTGCATATATCTGATAAGGGATGAATATCAAGAATATATCAAAAACTCCCAACACTCAATAACAACAAAAGGCCCAATTCAAAAATGGGCAAATAAACATTTCTTCAAAGAAGATGTACAAATGCCCAATAAGCACATAAAAAGATGCTCAACATCACTTATTAGGGAAGAATGAAAATCAAAACTACAAGGTATTGCCTCATACTGACTGGTATGGGTACTATCAAAAACACACAAACAGAAAATAATTAGTGTTGATAAGAATGTGGAGAAATTGGAACCTTTGTGCATTGTTGGTGGGAATGTAAAATGGTACAGCTACTTTAGAAAACAGTATGGCAGTTCCTCAAACAATTAAAAATACAATTACCATATGGGCTAGCAATTCCCCTTTGGGTATATGCCCAAATTGATTGAAAGCAGGGTCTTAAAGAGATATTTGTACCCCCATCTTCATAAGCAGCATTATTCACAATAGCTAAAAAAATGAAAGCAACCCAAGTATCCATCAACAGATGAATGGCAAAACAGATAAGCAAAATCTGGTATATACATACGACAGAATATTATTCAGCCTTAAAAAGGAAGGAAAATCTGATATAGTCTATAACATGGATGAACCTTGAGGACATTATGCTAAATTAAATAAGATGGTCACAAAAAGATAAATACTATATGATTCCACTGATATGAGGTACTTAGAGTAGTCTAAATCATAGAGACAGACAGTAAAATTGTGGTTTCCAGGGGCTAAGGGAAGAATGAAATGGGGAGTTATTGTTTAATGGTATAGACTTTCAGTTTTATAAGATGAAACAAGCCATGAAGATAAATGGTGGTGATGGCTGCACGATACGATGAATGTAGTTAATACCTTTGAACTGTACACTTCAACATGGCTAAGGTAATAAATTTTATGTTATATGCATTTTACCACAATTTTTTAAAAGTAGAAGAGAAAAGCACTGAGAAATAGAAAAGAAATGTTGTTAGCAATGTAAGTATGGATAGATAAAAGTATCTGTAGATCTAAAACATATAAACTAAGTTAACTTAAAGTCTCAAGTTAATACATGAATTAATTTTAATTAAAAAACAATTCCGGATACAACCTAAAAATAAAAGTAATGAAAGTCTTAAGATAACAAAGATAATTCCCAAATACTGATTGAGTATCTGCTCAGTTAAGGCACTGGTGTAGGCACACATATACAAACCTTAAGACACACGTGTGACTGCTTACAATAGCACTGTAGGATGACATCATCCATTGGCTTAAAGAGAGACTTATGTACCAGTGTAATGCAATATCTCCCAAAGAATTTGTAAATCGTGCTGATTTAGCCCACTCTTCTTGTCTTCTACTTCTTTTCCATCAGTATTGCCAGTTATGTCTCTGTCCATGAAATATTTAAGGAGAAAAATAGCCAAAATCTCTTTCTTAGGTTATAATCAGATCCATTAGCTCTATGCAAAACTAATTGGTGGGTTAAAAATACATAATGTAATTACTTGTGCTTAAAGCGAAACAGGCATCCAAATTTAGTTATTGGAACAAAGGCAAGCTAAATTCAGTGAGTGCATTAGCCTGGTGAGTTATTCAAGGTCATTCAGTGGCTAGGGCAAAGCTAAATAGAGGCTGAATTGCCCAAAAGTTTAGGTTTGATCATTCTCTTTTAAACTTGGCTATAAAGTGAAAGGGCTTCAAATTTTTCCTCAATGCTTTGTGTCATCTTAATAAACACTGCCTACATAAGGACAAAAAAATGTTAATTATATACATATATGTTCAAAATGAAAATACCCATTCGAGTAGAGCTACTTCAAGTCAGCTGTTTCCCATTCAAATGCAAACAAAAAGACCAATTCATTCAGCTGTAAAATTTCATAAGGTGAGCTCCGATGACCAGCGGGAACAGTATATCCTAACACAATTCTGACATAAATATAAATAATATTCAGAGCATCATTTCCTGAAACATGGGTCATGTAATACCGGTTCTGCAAAGTACTTTAAGAAAATGTTTGGAGGTTGATACATCCAGGAAATCCTGCTTACACAGCCCTTAAGAGAGATATGCAGCTCACATTAGTTCCAAGGAGTCTTCAGAAACTTGTCATTTTTCTGTAATTCAGTCTTTTCCAAACATACATTTCTTTATTAACAGAACCAGCACTCCCTGGTATACACTTTGGGGAACACTGCTCTAAAAAACTTCAAGTATTCATTGTATTCAAATACAGTGTGATTCTAGACCTTATGAAATCAAAAGCAAGAGGCCTTTCTTATACTGTCTCTGAAACCTTTGACCTCAGCAGTCCCCACTTCATGGCCAGGCTTACTCGACCTCAAGCTACCAGTATGTAAAGGAGAAAATACTGAAGGTTGTGCTGGTTTCTCATTTTATTTACCATCTAATTTCAACTCAATCTCCCATTCTGTTTTTAATAAGCTTATGTCCCTTTCAACATTCTCTAAGTTTCAGGCTGGGATTCTATTTCTGGCATTCTAGATTCTGGCTAGCCAAATTCCTGACTACCTTCTGACACTGGACTCTTTTGTACTCAGTGTATAGCTTTTACCTTTGATCCTGTACAGAAGCCTGACAATTTAAGTCTGTCTCTGCTTTGGGCTCATCCTCCCTCCTGCCTGTGATAAAATTAATAAAGGCAAACTTCAAACTGTGACAAGGAGGATATGCTCCATAGAGACAGAGACATCCAATGATGTTTCTTGCAACTTGGATTCATCCATCAATCAATGAAGAAATGCTCAAAGAGCTCCTTCTGTCCTCAAGACATTATGCTAAGAGCTATGGAGAATTTAGCAGAAATCACAATGGCAGGGCACTTTATTTTGAGTTAGGTTTTGGGGAGGAATTGGCCCAGGAAGCAAGGGAGAAATTTGTGATTCAGTAACTGTGAGGTTCCTCCTTCTATGGCTGTATATCACAAGGATTTAAGAATGGTTTTTGGCAAGGCACAGTGGCTCGTGCCTATAACCCCAGCGCTTTGGAAGACAAAGGCAGGAGATCACTTGAGCCCAGGAGTTTGAGAGCAGCCTGGGCAACAGAATGAGACCCATTGCTACAAACAATTTTAAAAAATAGCCAGGTGTGGTGGCACATGCTTGTGGTCCCAGCTACTCAGGAGGCTGAGGTGGGAGGATCACTTGGATCTTGAGAGGTCAAGGCTGCAGTGAATCATGATCCCACCACTGAACTCCAGCCTGGGCAACAAAGCAAGACCCCATCTAAAAAAAAAAAAAAAAAAAAAAAAATTTCAATAAATACTTTCTTTTTGTCCCTAAGACCATCCCTGACCTTTCTGATGCTATTCTTACATAACATCTTTTGGTGATAAAGATAACATACTGTTAAAAAGAAAGGCATTTTTAAAACAGTATCTCCACTCTTAAGGACCTCTGGATAGCCTCTAGAGTAGAAATCTAGAAGACACTGTATATAAAATGGCACATGGTGAGATTGATTATCTTGTTTACAGTGAAAATCCCCAATTTCAAGATTGAGAAAAAAGTGCAATGTCTATACCTACTCTCAGCCCACCATACCATCTTTTTTCTTTAACCAAAGGCATTTGTATTTGTTAAGAAATATAGGTCTAGACCAAGGCAGGTTGCTGATAACATCATCCGTGGTGTGTGTTATTGATCTACTATGCATATGGGCACATTGCATATGCTGATTTGTTTTAGGGGAATCATTTCCTGGAGACTTGAAGAGTGTAACTATTAGAAGCTCCTTTGAAGTACACAGCAATGAACTTGTAGCTTCACTTCCTAAGAACTCAACAGAGCCATAACGAAAGTGAACAGTAAATTTCTTTTGGCTATGGCATCTGATAAAATAGAGTCCCTTCATAGAATGCATAATGCCTGCATTATTTTTGTATACATAGCCTTGCCAAAAGATGCTCTTCAAAGTTAATGCTACAAAAGGGGAGAGTAGTAAGTATTGTGTCAATATTATGTACCAAAATTATGACGTATGTCCAATTATCATGGAAACATGTCATGTAATTTATTTCCAAAAGATACAAAAAAGATTATAACTCCTTAAAAGCAAGGATTGTGTGACACAATTTTGCATCCTACATGGTGTCTCACTCAGACTCTTCTGCATAGCAGGCATGTGATATGCTTGTACTGAATATGTAAATGTGTCAAGGAGTGAGTGAGACACTGAATGCATGAATGATTCAATTAGTGAAGAAATAAAAATTCAATAAAGTCTTTATATAAATCAGCTGGTAGACAATTGTATGCTACCTACTAAATAAGAGGGTGTGAAATAGTTAAAGAGAAAAGAAAATCCAGAAAAGCTGAAAGTAACTACTGGAAAATGTTTTTTTGTTTGCTTGTTTTATGTAATAAAGGAACTTTTGAGGTAGCATTCAATCTGGACTCTGCCTCACAAAAACCAAGATCCTGACAAATCCATTCTACTTACCAATGTGTTTTTTTTAAAGCCATTTCCTGGTATTAGCTTGTAAATGAAGCAGCTATCATTACGGAAAACATATTAGAGAAGAAAAACTAATTTTCTACTTCTGGTAAAGACAGAAGATCAAATGTTCTCATTAGCCTCTGCTCCCTCCCAAAACCCATAAAAATATCACTAAAGAATTAAAAAAAAAAAAAAGAGTAAGAGAGATGGTAACAACAAGAGGATTTTGGAAACCAGAAAATAAATGGGCAAGAAATAATTGATTTAGCAGATCTAAGAAAGCTAAATCCTAAACTGGCAGTGGGGAAACTGAGAGTCAATCAAATTTATAGGTAGAGCCCCCAAATGCCCAAAAACTGATGACATCTTGTTCCCCTGGAAGAAGGGTGAAAGTGGGCCTAAACCTAAGATAATCACCTGGAAGCCAATTTAAGAACCAGCTAAAACCCCAGATTCCCTCTCTTGGGAGTCTGCCTCTCTATGCAGAGAATAAAATAGAGGGTCTCTAGATTAAAGGATACCAATGTTGAAGGCAGGGACACCTTACCCTAAACTGGGAAATTAGGTCAACATATGCTTATTAAATGTTTAAATCCTGTCTTCTTCCTCCATTCAATTCCCAGAGTGCAATCAGCAGGTGGGAATCTCATCAAATCTAAAGGAAATATCTAAAGATATTGGTGGAAGGATGTTCCATCAATAAACAGCCCATATCAACCTATATAGCAGGATTTCTCAATCTTGGCACTTTCGACATTTGGGACCAGAAAATTCTTTGTTGTGGAGAGCTGTCCTGTGCATTGTAGAATGTCTAGTAGTAGTACCTGTGGCCTCTACTCATTAGATGCCACGACCTCTCCAGTCATGACAAACAGAAATGTCTCTAAATATTGCCAAATGTCCTATAAGGAGCAAAATCACTCCTGGTTGAAAATCACTGCTTTATAGTGAGGCTCATAGCTGACAATTCCCTCTCATATACTCAGAGTTTCAAATCAGCTTCTTAGATATTAATGGATACTAGTTCAAGTTATGCATGGTTGAGCACAGATGCACTTACAATTTATGCTTGAATTAACAATTTAAAAAGCATAGTGTGATTTAGCTGTTTTCAACTAAGATTATTTTATGAAATCTAAATTTTTAAAAAATCTTTCTAACAACATCATCTAAAGTTAAGAGTATCCCAAAATAATTAAAAAGTAAAAAACAAAAACAAAAAACCTATTAATATGGTCTACCTATGGGCAATAAATCGAGATTTACTTTACCCCATAAATATCTAAATAGTTTGCTCTTTCTCACTCAAGGAACATTTGTTATCTTAATAATAATCTTTAAAAAAAAGTCTCATTATACATGTCAATGAAAAGAGTCAAACTCTATAAAATATTTGAAGAGATTTATTTTGAGCCAAACGTGAGTGACCATGGCCTGTGACACAGCCCTCCGGAGGACCTGAGAACATGTGCCTGAGGTGGTTACGGCACAGCCTGGTTTTATACATTTTGGGGAGACATGAGACATCAAACAAATACATTTAAGATGTACATTGGTTTGGAAAGGCAGGACAACTCAAAGTGGGGAGCTTCCAGGATATAGGTAAATTTAAATTTTTTCTGGTTGACAATGGGTTAAGTTTATCTAAAGACCTGGGATCAACAGAAAGGAAATGTTTGGGTTAAGATAAAGGGGTATGGAGACCAAGTTTTATTGTGCAGAGGAAACCTTCAGACAGCAGACTTCAGAGAGAATAGGTTATAAAATATTTCTTATTGGACTTAAAAGGGTGCCTGACTCTTAGTTGATTATCTCCTGGATCTGCAAAGAAAAAAAAAGGAGGGGAAGGGGATTCTCTACAGAATGTCGATTTTTCCCAGAAGAGGTGACTTTGCAGGGCAGTTTCAAGATATGACAAGGAAATATATTTGGGGTAAAAACATTTTGATTTCCTTCCTTATTTGTTATGTGATGTTATGCCAGAGTCAAGTTGGAAAGCAGGCCACGTTACACAGGGTTAAATAAAACCCCTCTGATGAGACTTTATGGTTTGCAGGGCATGACTCCCTAGGTTCCTTAGGTAGGATTTGGGCAAAATAAGAAAAAAAAGGCCAGAGTTTAGTCCTCATACATAATCAAGAGAAGTGAGTAAACCAAGTGGACTCTCCTGGAATGCCTCTGAGGTTCTGGTCTTTAAGAGATGAGCATCTGACATCAGTTGGAACATGTAGAATTTTATTACCTTTCACATTGTTTACAAGTTTTATTGTCAGTTTCAAATTAGAAGAGGAAGAAAATCTTTGTTATTAGGCCATATTACTATGTGAAATACATTTTGAATATAAGGAAAAACTTTTTAATGAGAACCACACAATTTCAGATAGAAAGGAACCTCAGAAGCCATCTGTCAACCTCCTGCCCAAGGAAGGAATCACCACTTCAAGAGTCCTGGAACATGTTCAAGGATAAGGGGCTACTGTTTTTTGAAGAAGATGGTTCAGTTGTGAATCACCTAGAAAGGTGCCCAAGTCTGCTTTTATAACTTTTATACACTAGTCTAGCCTTTAAAGGGGAAAAAAACTGTTTTTCTCTCTAACTCATCTGTTTCAGTTCAAGAATTCTGGGCTCCTTTGTCATCTGTGTAGTTCTGTAGTCCCTAAGATATGTCTAAGCCTGTATCTAACTCCCTTCAAACATCCTAGTCATCTAGGTAGCTGGCATTTTCAAAGTGAAGGGCATCTTGTATGAATTAGTTCATATGCTAATCTTTTTTGTTTTGTTTTGGTTTTTGAGACGGAGTCTTGCTCTGTGGCCCAGGCTGGAGTGCAGTGGTGCAATCTTGGCTCACTGCAACCTCCACCTGCCAGGTTCAAGTGATTCTCCTGCCTCAGCCTCCTGAGTGGCTGGGATTACAAGCGTATGCCACCATGCCTGGCTAATTTTTGTATTTTTAGTAGAGACAGGGTTTCACCATGTTGGCCAGGCTGGTATCAAACTCCTGACCTCAGGTGATCCACCTGCATCGGCCTCCCAAAGTGCTGGGATTACAGGCGATATAGGGGTGAGCCACCACACCCTGCCTATATAAACTAATCTTATTGGGTTATATCAACTAATCATGCCACACATGAAGCCTTTCACCAGCATTTTCCTTGCCATGGATAAGAAAGCCCCACCCATCACCAATATCCCTCCATCAAACCATGATCTACATTCCTACTCCAAGACCATTAGAGTGAAGGCACAAAGATCATCTACCTTCCCTACACATATCTCCTACTTGGAGATATTTCTAGACTAGAGCAAAGAATAGTAACTCTGGTTACAATAACAGACTAAGGTCAGGTCACACTCAATTTACTTGTATTCTTAAGAAAAACTCCACAGCTGATACCTGAGCTCTCATCCTTATGTTTAGAGTGGTTGCTCATTGAAAATTATATAATTTTATAAATTATATATTATATATTATAAATTGTATAATTATATATAAGCTCCCAGTAATTAAAACCATCACCCAAAACCAGTCCGTCAATTACTCTGAACACTGAAAACCTTTTTGTACAAATATTATTGCTAATCTGAGACCTATTCCTTTCTTTTAATCATTTTTACGTCTCTGACCCAATTGAGTAAAAGTCATTTTAAAGTTAAATTTACAACTACGTTTACAAGACAATGCAACATTTGAAGAATCATTAAAATTTTTATTATCCCTCAGCAGATTTTTGTTCTTTTCCCCTCCTTCCCTGTTCATTTCCAGTTGAAGAATCCTGGCTCCCAGCCAGCCAGAGTCTTGGAGGAGTTCTTGTTCAACCACCCACTCCCCGCTGCTAGCCATGGTGTGGCAAACAGAAATTTTTACTCATGCCATGATAACTACCTTCTTAGAAGTTTTCCTACCTCCCTTGTGTTACAGTCTGGGGGTGTTAGAAAGCCAATTATTTGCATGGGTTATGGAAGATTCTGACATCCCCTAGAAAGAGCCTAATCATCTGGCACTTTTCTGCACATCATCTGGCAATAAACACCATCTGCAGTTCAGCAAGGAAACTCTTTGCTGTGCCGTAGGATGTTTCTAAACTCCTAGCGGTCATTAAAAGCAATTATTTTACCCAGATTCATTCCTCCTACCAGTGTAGAAACCCTTCTCCTCCACGTTGATACATCCTAATCCAGAATCCGTGGGGATTTTGTATGGTTTCTGTGTGTTTGTGGAGGTTGGCAACAAGAGATGAGTACTACTCCACTGCTCTAAGTCTACATGGTACCATTTGATAGAGAGCCTGTAAGTCTAAAACCATGGGTTTCCTGAAAAACACTAGGAACTGAAATGAGAAGGAGAGATAGATCAGGAAGCGGAACAAAGGAAGAAGCAGAGAAACTGAAAAATTCAAACCACCTCACTAACATGCAGTAAATATCAGTTTTAGGAGCTCTGAAAACATGCCTGCACATCTGTTCAGGTCAGCCTCCCCAGATTCCTCTTCAGACTGGGCCAGGTAGGCTCAGACTCTGCCCTCACACTCATTGCTCTGTGGAGGCTGAGGCTCCTTTCTGAGCCTGTGTGGGGATCTCCTCACACATAGCCGAGCTGGAGAGCTGATGCAGCCCAGGCCTGAGAACAGTGGGGACTGGATGGTTTGTCTAATTCTCTGAACATAAACTTGGCAGGAGGTCCTTTGGGTTACTAAGCAACTGAACATCTGACATGAAGCCTATTAACAACCTTTTCCATAGATTAGTAAAAGTTCCCAGAACAAATTCATGTCTGGTCCAGTGAAGAAAGAAGAAGGAAACAGGGGTAGCCAAGAAGGGGATGGGAAAGGAAAGCCAAGATGGAAAAAGGAACCAGCCTGTCCTGTGACATGTGGACGTAGGAAGATGAGGAAGGCACATAAATGGAGGCACTTGGGTGAGAGTTGGAGGCATCCAGGGAAGGAGAATATGAATAAAGTATGGTATAAAATGATCCAGAATGGCACTTGCCACAAGCTCTAGGAAGCAGTCTTACGGCAAAAAGAGAACTTCCAAGGTTTTCATTTGTTATGTAGAATTATAGATCTTTCTTCCATTTTGTTATAATCATCCCCACTCAAGCACTCACCACAAGTACATGGCTGTCACAAAAATCTGTAAGGATAAGACACTAATGGGCTTGACAATTTCATGAAAACAGATAAGGAATGACTTGGAAAGTTCTCAATTTATAACTTAATGTCCTGGGTAAGCTGCCTTCCTGCGGCCCCTAGATTCACTCTCTTTCTTTTCTACTTTACTTTGCTGTGCCCAGGGTATAGACAATAAGGGACTGAATTGTTTGTGGAGAATTGTAAAACAATAATAAACTGACCAAAAGTCAACTTGCTTTTTATTAACACCAGGGCTAACATTCTTAAACTAAGAATTACTGCAATTTTAACAACATATAAGCCTCCAATTCTCTCTCTTTTTAAAATTTTCTTTATAAAAACATTGTATTCCCCAGGCCCAGTGGCTCATGTCTGTAATCCCAGGACTTTGAGAGGCCAAGGTGGGCAGATCACGAGGTCAGGAGCCCAAGACCAGCCTGGCCAACATAGGGAAACCCCGTCTCTACTAAAAATACAAAAATTAGCTGGGCATAGTGGCACATGCCTGTAATCCCAGCTACTCGGGAGGCTGAGGCAGGAGAATCGCTTGAACCCAGGAGGCAGAGGTTACAGTGAGCCAAGATCACACCACTGCACTCCCTCCCACCTGGGCAACAGAGCAAGACTCTGTCTCAAAACAAACAAACAAACAAAAAATTGTATTCTATTCTACATGGAAGCTAATTCAGAGAGCTTTCGTTACACTATCAGTCCTGACACACTTAAAGCCAGCTACACTCCTTCCCAGGATACATTCTAAGGGTCTAGAACCATTCAAGTTTGCTGCAGGAGCAGTTCCTACCTCTGGCCTCCAGAGTGCTACCTATTCCTTGTTTAAACAGTAGATTAGAAACTGATTTTCAAAAGGAAGAACTGAAACTTGAGTTATATCAATTCTGTCATTCTTCATGGACACTTGGAATTTTTAATTTATGTTTAAAATTTAAAAGAGTGTGTATTAGTCAATTCTCACACTGCTATGAAGAAATACAGGAGACCGGGTAATCTCATCACAGTTCTGCATGACTGGGGAGGCCTCAGGAAATATTGCAATCATGGCAGAAGGCACCTCTTCACAGGGTGGCAGGAGAGAGAATGGGTGCTAGCAGGGGAAAAGCTAGATGGTTATAAAACCATCAGATCTCATGAGAACTCACTATCACAAGAACAGTATGGGGGAAACTGCCCCCATGATTCAATTACATCCACCTGGTCCCACCATTGACACGTGGGGATTTGGGGATTATAATTCAAGATGAGATTTTGGGTGGGGACACAATCAAACCATATCATAATGAAACAGAGAATGAACTGCAAACTGAAATCTGAAATATTTTTGTTTGGTAAATGAAAATTTGAGATTATACATGAAATATTTTACCAAATTTGAATAATGTCAACATTGTAATTTAGTCTTTTAAAATTGTCAATTATATTTGTTGTGAAATTTAAGAATGAGTCAAAAAAACAATCATTATGACATCATTATTGAAAATAATTTTGTCCTGTACAAGCAAGGGGAGGGGTATTTAAAATGATCTGCTCTAGGTGTCAGCCAGTATGGAGCATGCAGAAGCAGGAAGAAGAGGAAGGTACATAAATGGAAGCACTTGGGTGAGAGTTGGAGGCATCCAGGGAAGGAGAATATGAATAAAGTATGGTACAAAATGATCCCAGAATGGCATTTGCTGCAAGCTCTGCCCTCTGCCCTCTGGCTTCTGATTGGGTTCATACAGGACCACTGGCTTGAGATTAGGAAAAGAGAAGAGTGAGGTTAGGACATTTATCCCTTCCCCTCCCTGCAGGCTTGCTCTAGTTTGCCAACATACTTTGACTTAGACCAGAGGTCACAGCTGTCATCAGGGGCCCTCCCCACACAGCTAGTTCTCAACATTCTCTCTCTCTCTTCTCTCTTCCACCCTCCCTCCCTCCCTCCTGGAATACAGTTATTGCTTGCCCATCTGTCTTGCCAGTTCAGACCCAGGGATGGAAAGACACTGCCCTCACCTTACTAGCCTAAGAATATTGCACTACCCTTTGTACTTTTCCTATACCCAGCCCACACCTTTATAAATTTAGTTTTATTTTAACTCTGAAAATTACCCAATTTTCATGTATCAACTATTTCCTGCTGACATTCTGACTAATATATATATATATATATATCTCCTGACTCCTCATAACCCCACTCTCCATCACTCTTCATTATCCTAGACATCAAGTGGAAAATTTTCTCCTCCTTAAATATGTATATTCTAATTCCATAGGCTCTGAGGATCATGGAAATGGAGCAGTTGATATTAGTTATTTAATTGCAATTTCACTGATCAGGGAAGAGTGGGGGAAATATCACAGGATGTGCACTTAGCTGAGGAATCTGCTGCAGCACAGCCTTCTAAAAAACACCCTCCCTTCTCAAATGCTTGACAGTCAACTCATAAAAGTAAAATCTGACAAACTGCCTCACTTAGCATAAGCACTCCCCCAACAAAAATCACTTCAGTATTTTTTTCTGCTTCTCCAAAAGGTGGGGATTAAGAATTCTAGGATTAACCAAAACCTTTCATCATTTTAAAGGGGTTAATATTAAGGCTAATGGAAAGAATTAATTCCAGGCAGCAGTGACTTCAATCTGTCAGAATCCTTTGCATTTCATTTTTTCCTTTTCCAAGTTAACTACAACTATAAAGATGACTAAAAGACTCTACTAAAAGTTTTTCTTAGAATATTTTTGTTAATATTTTTCAAAAAAAATATTTCATGGGATAAAAAAGTACATTCACTGAAATTCAAAGGATCTTGATTCTTTAGCCTGGTAATCTTTAAATGACTTAAATACCCTCAGAGCGTGAGAACTTGATTTCAAAATGCCAAGCAAACACAAGAAAGAAAACTTAGAATTACACCTAGCAGACAATAAAACCACATAATTTCTGCAAAATAATTCAACAATCTGATCTGACCTCAATGTGATGACTCAGAAGTGAATTTGGTGGTGAGAAGGGCTGCAGAAGATACATTTACCATGGCTAATCGGTATTCATGAAAATGAGAGCTACAGTTGAACAACAACAAAAGCATCAGCAATATTAATAGCTAACACTTACATTATGTTTACTGTTAATATGTGTGCAAAGCACTGCTTTAAATGTTTTTCATGCATTGATTCATTTAATCCTCAGAGCAACCCTGAGAGGTAGATCACTATAACTATTCCCATCTTACAGATGAAGAAACTGAGACTGGGAAGGTTTAAGTTATTTGCCCAAGGTCACACAGCTAGTAAGTAACAGAGCTGAGATACAAGCACAAGCTTGGCTCTGAGCACATACATCTAACTACCATGATATACTGTCTCTACCAGAACTTCAGAACGCAGTCCTTTTAATGGTGTGCAATTTAAAAAATACAATCAGTCTAATCACAGCACATGAATTCAATTTAATCTCCATTTCTCTTTCAGGAACAACAGTTAAAAATGGGAACAGAGGTATCCCAAGAGAACTCTTACTGCTATAGTATTTGTGAGGTCATGACAGTATTATCAACATCTCGGGACCTATTAATAGTTTTGTCAAGAAGAAAAGAAAATGAATAGCCTAGTTCAGTAATTCCCCTCATTTGGAAAGGAATCAAGAACCCCTTTGTGATTCTGTTGACAGCTATGGTCCCTCTCCCAAGAAAATGTCTACTTTGCATTCAATTTCAATAAATTTCCAGAAGCCTTGATGTGCATCCACAGGTTCTATGTGAGAAAACCCTCTTCTTGGATGATTTCTAAGTCTACAGTGTTGTATACTTCACAGGAATAAAAAATCAACCAACCAGCCGAGCGCAGTGGCTCACACCTATAATCCCAGCACTTTGGGAGGCCAAGGTGGGCAGATCACTTGAGGTCAGGAGTTCTAGACCAGCCTGGCCAACATGGTGAAAACCCATCTCTACTAAAAACACAAAAAAATTAGCCAGGTGTGGTGGCATGTGCCTGTAGTCCCAGCTACTCAGGAGGCTGAGGCAAGAGAATCGCTGGAGCCCATGAAGCAGAGGTTGCAGTGAGCCGAGATCACGCCACTGTATTCCAGCCTAGGCAACGGAGCAAAGCTCTGTCTCAAAGAAAAAAAAAAAAAATCAACCAACCAACCAACATTTATTGAGCAACTGCTATGTGCAAAACACTGCAGTGGATCTTGTGTGGATAATACAAGAAAAGATATTATATAATCCCTGCCTTCAAACAGCTGTATAGTCAAGTTTGCAAAATAAGACAAGAGTAGGGACATTAGTTCTCCAGGCACTCAAAAGAAATATCATTTCTAGCTTGGGTTGTCAGGCAAGGCTTCAAAAGAGGTCATGAACTATGAATTGGTCTAGATAAATTATTAGGATTGGAAAGAAAGTAGGAAAAGGCATTTGATATCAGGAAATAATAAAATTCTTCATTTTAACACTTACCTGAATTTGTGGGCTGAAAAATTTAATTTTAGGAAAAATGCTGTATGTTAACTATAACTAAGAACTTTATTTTCTGACCAGATAGTGTGCCTCACGCCACATCAGTACAATTTGTTCACCTTAGCCCAGCTATCTGCTGAAAAGATATCACACAACTGGAAGCCCCTGGCCTTCCTTCTCAGAAGCCAACTAAAATGTGCATTGCACTGTTTACCATGATAAGAATACCTGTCAGTAGAAATTGATTTGAGGTTCTTAACTTACCTCTCCATGGCCGGAGGAGCCAACAGAGAGAAATTTATTTTTATTCCAAGGTGGCTTTGTATCTCATTAGCAATCCCATAAGCCTCCGCCCTTTTTATTCAACTGTCAACAGTCCTTGATGTTCTGAATAAAGAGCTGTCCAAACTAGGATTAAACAGAAGAGGAGGGAAAAAAATCACTGTTCTCATTCTGAGATTCCATGTGGAGGTGCTAAGCTAGTTCAACTCCCTAGAGAGCGACCTTTTTATTTTCTTTGCAATCCTGGTCACAATTCAGGATTTAGGCATTTGCATCATGAGGCTTGATTCCTGCTACAATTCTTTCCACCAAAAATACAACACAGTAGCACAGAGTATATTTGAAATTCCAATAAAATCAATGTTGACTTGATTGGGAAATTCTGAAAATTAGAATTAAAGTCTAAGGAGAGACAGATTAAGTTATTAATTAGCTAGGGTTGCCAGAAAACAGCAATATATAAAAAGAGAATATAAGGAAGACGACTTCCTGTAAAGCTGTCATCATGCATTCAACTAGAAATGGATCCTGCAGTCCCACATGTAGAAATGAGATGAAAGTTTGGAGTAGCTGCCTCCTTTCAAGAGATTCACAATTTTGAAGTGTTACAGCATATTCCCAGAGGGCTGGGTGAGATTGTGTGTGTGGTGGGGTAAAGTAGAGAAAAAAGTGTCACAGAAAATTAGTAGTTCAAAAAAAGAAATAAAAAAACATAATTTGAAATGAACTTGCTTCGGCACTCTGTAGCTGGGGGTGGCAGGTAATAAGACTCAACATACCCATATGATAGTTGTACCACTTAGAATCTTTGGGGCTACAAGTAACCAGAAAACCCTGACTCATTTCAATTTTTAATTTTTTTTCTATTTATGGAATATCTCACATAATGAAATAACAGAAGTAGGGCAGGACCTAGCCAAGGAAGAGCTATCAGGATTCCTTCTCTGCTCCCCTGAGATTCTCCTGGCTCTGCCCCTATACCCTAGATTAGCTTCATTCTCACGAGGAAGGTAAGAGGCCTGTGACAGTTCTAGGCATCATGTCCTTACATGACAATGTCCAGAGGAAAACAGAACCATTTTTTTCTATGCCTTTTTCTCAAGATTGAGGTAAACTTTCCTGGAAGCCCCCAGCAGACTTCCCCTCATCTCTTCTGGTAGATTTAGATCGTATGCCCATTCCTAAACTAGTCTCAAGTGGAAAGAATAGGATTATCATGACTGATTCTTATATTGTGGTCCCCAGGCCACCAGCAGCATTTGAGAAAAATGCAAACTATTAGGATCCACTCCAGACTTACTGGATCAGAATCTCTAGAGTTGAAGCACAGCAGCAGAGCAATCTGTGTTTTAATAAGAATTCCAGGAGATTCAGATGCACTTAAGTTTGTGAACCATTGGTTTGGAGCAGAGTGGAATGGATGTTGGATTCTCAACCACAATGAGGACACTGGTCAAGGAGTCAGCAATTAGGAAGACCACAACTATTAAAATAACCTGAGTCACTTTTGACTAGCATTATGACATTTATGAATGCTTACTGTCTTTTTTTTTTTTTTTTGCTAAAAGTGGACTAAATATCTTGAAATACTCCTGCCGCCAAGCACCTGGAAATGCTGCATAAAATATAACCAACAATTTTTTAAATGTATAAACTCTCAGGAATGAAAAGTGAAACCCTCAAAGTCCCAACAAAAAGAGAAATCTGGAAAACAAGGACTCAAACTTTTGTAACTCTAAATGTCACTGCCAATCTAAGTAACAAAGGGTCTTGTGTGTAAATGACACATGGAGTGGCCACAAGGTAGGGTGATAAAACTGAGATTCTTATGATGAACCAGGACCCTAGAGGTCTATATCCTCTGAAAACAGGTGGACTGGAAAAAAAAAAAATCCACCCACAGAAGTAAGCAACAAGGAACCTCCTCTATCTCAGGCTGAGCTCTGGGTGAAGGGAAAAAAATTTCCCCTGAGAATTTATAACCACAGACCTGCCCTCATGTGGGTTTGAGATACAGATTTACACTACTACAAGGGCAGGTAAACCCCAAGCAGATAAATTAACATGAAAATGGATTCCCAGATGTCATTGCTGAGGTCCTGGTGGAAGAAAAGAAGAAGCCTCTTGGTAAGAACACATCCTCAAATAAGGTCACACAGGATTCTCACAGATAACGAAAGCTTGCAACCTTAACTCACAAAACACCTGGGGAAACACAGCACCATAACCAAGGCTCAGCAGAAAACAGCAAAATATGAACTTCACATAATAGAATTATCAGGAAGAGCTATAAAACAAGCTGGTTTTAAACTATTATTATAAGTCTAAAAGGGAATTAAAAACGAGAGAAAGGAATAGATACTATTTTTAAAAAAGAACCAAGCAGATTTAAAAGAGATGCAAAAGGGAAATATCCAGCTTCTATCATCCTCAACAAGAAATGTATGACCTCAACAAGAAATCAGCCTGGGCTGGAAGAGAAGTTGTCAGAGAACCTGAGGAAGCTTGAGGTTATTCTCAACACTTTGTAAAGTGTTCTATAATTTGGGTATCTAGGTGGGGAGTCCCCAGAAGGCCCTGCTTGAGGTGGTATCCAATGTGTACTCCTACAAAGACATGAAAAGATTTATCCCCATTCTTTCCTGTAATGTGACAAGACACTGGATGACAGCTAAATTACTGCTGATCATATTTTTGAGAGTATGGGGAGAGCATTTGAGAAAAAGCTTTGTGAAACCTCTTGATCTGCAGAACCTCTTTATCATGTTTTAACCTCTCAGCTTAATAGTTATATTTTATGATACTTCACAACAAAGTCCAATCTTTCAGAATTACCATATTAAACTCATACCTCTGTATATTTGAATGAGTCTTCTTAATCAAACTTATTGTAGTTTTTGCTCTGACTCCCTAAATAAGAAGTGTTTCATTTAAAATTTATTTCTAGTAACTTGTAGAAATATAAGGGCAGGCCAGGCACAGTGGCTCACGCCTGTAATCCTAGCACTTTGGGAGGCCAAGGCGGGTGAATTGCCTAAGCTCAGGAGTTCAAGATCAGCCTGGGCAACACAGTGAAACCCTGTCTCTACTAAAATACAAAAGAAATTAGCCAGGTATGGTGGCATGCCTGGTCCCAGCTACTTGGGAGGCTGAGGCAGGCAGGAGCATTGCTTGAACCCAGGAGGCGGAGGTTGCAGGGAGCCGAGATCACATCACTGCACTCCAGCCTGGGCGACAGAGAAAGACTCCATCAAAAAAAAAAAAAAAAAAAAAAAAAAACAGGAAGAAAGAGAGAGAGAGAGGGAGAGAGGGGGAGGGGGAGAGAGAGAGAGAGAGAGAGAGAAAAGAAAAGAAAGAAAAGGGCAAACATATAGTGTGTAAAGAGTACCATCAATTTGCTCCAAATCAAAATTCAATTATATTATTGGAGAAATGCCACTATAAAGGCCTACAGTTTGACAATTATCATGTGTTTACATATTCACAGAGACTGTCCCCTCTCCTTCTGCTGGCTAGACCCAGGAGAAGCCTGGAACCATGGGAGAGGCCTCAGTACATGGTGTGGATGGCTGGAAAGGACAGGAATGTATCAAACCACATCCATCACATTTAATGTTTCTGTCTTAATCCATTCCTGGCTAAGGGAAATGCCACTCCTGTAGATTCCTCTCTGCATTTCCAGCATGTATGAATCACTTGGCAAAACCTGATGTTAAAAGAAATGCAAAGAGTGGTAAAGCCAAGAAGCCCTTGTCTGACCCTGCCTCAAGGTAAATAAACACCTGGTTTAAACAGAGGCTTAGAGGAAGCAGATCCTTCCAGCCAAGGAGAAGGCCCCACACACACAATTTCCTTCCATCACAAATCAGAGGCAGAGCCTCACTGCATTTGGGGCCACTATTTGCTGCTTGGAAGAAAGCATGGGAGCACTCCCAGCCCTTGCACAATACCAATTATGTTTCTCATTTAAGAAACAGTTATTTGTCTGAATGCAAACTACATAAAGGGCAGAGGGAGTTCTCTTCTCTTACAGAGTGATAGTTTATTTATCTGAAACACAGGAGGTTCCCCTGATTGTAATCTTTGAGTTGATGTGTCCACAGAGGGAGTAAATATTTGAAGGAAAAAGCAACATTGCCAGACTAGTACAGCACTATCAGAGATTTATTTTGTGGATAGTATGAAAAGTAAAAAGAGACAGGTGATGACAGGTTTTCAGAGCAAAAGCCAAAGCCTTCAAAGAGGAGACCTCAGTGTTGCATTTTCCCCAAAGGAAAAGTTGCTGGAGCTTCTTAGCAAGGAGGTGAGCTCTTATTTACATACTCATCATCCTGGGCTAGTTTTGGCCTTCCTTATATTGTACCTACCCTTGCCTTAAAATATCCAGCCACAGAATGTGGCAAATAGTGCTTTCTTTCCAGTGAGTTAACCAAGAATTATTTCCAGTGAGTTAATTCTGCATTACTGAGTGCCTATAGTGTGCTTAGAAGTGTGTGTTAAATCCAATTGGGGAATAAAGATATTCAAGTCATATGCTCGCTCCTCATGGAATTTACGGTTTAAGAAGACAATAAAAAGTTTAGCCAGGAACAGTGGCAAGCACCTGTAGTCCCAGCTACTCAGGAGGCTGAGGTGGGAAAATCACTTGAACCTGGGAGGCAGAGACTGCAGTGAGCTGAGATCACGCTACTGCACTCCAGCCTGGGTGACAAAGTAAGACCCCATCTCAAAAAAAAAAAAAAAAAAGACAATAAAAAGTGTTTTGATAACTTCTGTACCATTATGTGGGTTTACCTACTCAACCTGCTTTGAGGGGCCCAATGGCTGTTCCAATGAATAGCTAGAGCTCACTTCTTGGCACCATGGCCTTGCCCACCACCCTTGGCTATCCTGGCATAAAAGGCAGCATGCTTGGAAGTCTAAGGTAGTGGTTCTCAAAGTGTGGTCCTTGGACCAGTAGCAACAGCACCATTGTGGAACTTTTTAAACATGCAAATTCTCAGGCCTTCTCCAGAGCTACTGAATTGGAAGCTCTGGGACTGAGTCCCAGAAATTTGTGTTTCAATAAGCACTGGTCTAAGGAAACTACTTTTTTGTTCTCCTACCTGCCAAATTGTCTTTCACTGGCCCTAGTTTCCACTTTCCACCTATTCAACATTAGAGAAGTGTTTTTGTTTGTCTGTTTGTTTGTTAATAAGTTAGAACACTTTAGGCTGCAAGTCACAGCAGACACTTATCAAACTAGCTTAAAAAGTGAGAACATTTATTGACTCATGTAACTGGAAAACCAGCATAAGGGTGAGTTCTATGGTTGACCTAATCTACCAGCCCTGGCTTGATTTCCCCCAAATTCCATTAATTCTGCCCTCTTCTGAGGGTTAACTTCACCCTCAGGCTCCCAGTGAGATGGCAAGGGCAGCTCAGTCTCACATCTGCATACAAAAGCCTCCAGAGAAAGAGAGAGAGAGAGCTTACTTCTGGAAACTCTCACAAAAGAGTAAGGGAAAACTTTCCCAGAACTCCCCAACACACCTTTCCTTTCCTGTTTTATCACTAGCCCAAACAGCAGCACATACACATTCCTGAACTGATCACTGGCAGGAAGGATGGGATTGATCAATCAGGTCCATACCTGCATCTAGGGGTGGAGTCCACCTGCAGAGGCACCTGCTCCATGTAGAAATGGGGTAGATGGCAAAAGAAAGTCAGGGTTCAGTTAGGAAGGAGAAAGGAGGAATGACTGATAGGTAGACAACCCCAAAGTTAATGAGTTTCTTAATGAGTTTCCAAGGACATGCTTTTAGGAAAGGAAGTCATCTGCTCTTGACATGGCAGTGAAAGCTAAACACCATGAGGCTGGCAAGCCATGACCACAAACCCCTCAGCATTGAATTGCAATCAGTCTGGAGTGAAATTTATCATATTTCACAAGCAAACTCAAGTAAGTGAAAAGGAAAAACTATTTCCTTTTTCTTTCTCCTCCCATCATTCTCCCTCTTCTCCCACCCTGAAACAATTTAATTTTAAATTAAATAGTAGCAGTCTTTTGATCATTTCTTCACTGATATATATATATACACATTATAGCTCATTAATGACATATTTCTCTCACAAATAATGTATCCTAGAACTATTTCCATAGATTACCAGACATTAAGTATAGCAGCAATTCTAAGCCAGGCACAGTGTTAAGCAAAGAATATCTAATGATAAATAACAGTGGGTCCTCATCTCTAGGACTCATGGAGTAGTAGGGACAGACACATGAACAAATGGACATAATGCAATATGCAGTGGGCAATAATAGAAGTATGCCCACACTATATATATGTTACAAATGCCAAAGTAATGAACTCCATCTGAGGTATAAGGGATGGAGGTGGTAACCCAGGAAAGTTTTGAGGGATAAATAGGGGGAAAAATAAGTGTAAGTTTTTAGATAATCCTTAGACATCAACATAGAAAACAAGGCATAAACAACATAAGATTACTTCTGGATAACAAAGCAGGTAACTGTCCCAGAGCAGGATGTTCTTTCTAGCTTAAAAAGTGAGAACATTTATTGACTCATGTAACTGGAAAACTAGCATAAGGGCGAGTTCTATGGTTGACCTAATCTACCAGCCCTGGCTTGATTTCCCCCAAATTCCATTAATTCTGCCCTCTTCTGAGGGTTAACTTCACCCTCAGTATCCCAGTGAGACGGCAATGTGAAAATGGGGCACTGTGCCTCACTTTCTTGTGGGGGCTCAAGGGCTGTATCTACCTGTTATGAGATGTGTTGAAAGTAACTTGCTACTAATGATAAAGTACTAGAATATATTATACAAATAATTCAGAGCAGGTTCTCTAAGTTATTAATAACTTAGAGCAGGTTCAAGGTTATCACTATAATCTTGTTATTATCCTCTGCATTCTCATGTGCTTTCAGAGGTGAAAGAGAAAGAAGATGGAGTTATATTTAGCCTGCTTGGAACTGAACATATTCCTGGGTTTCCCATTATTGTATACATGGGATGAGCAGGGTCTAAAGGCCCAGTGGGAAAAGGCTAGGAGGGCAGCTTTGGGATAACGCCATATTACTACTTAATTCCTGAAGTTAACTCCTAAATTGTGGTAACCAAGGCCCCTGAGAAGGAAACCAAGGTGGCCCTGAAATGTTTCAGGATCCACTCAGTGATGCTATTTAGCAGACACAATTATTTACACGCACAATTTGTTTTGCCCCATAATTTTGCAGAGATATTTTCCTCCTTTTCCTTTAGTTTCTAAGAATGGCAAATATATAGCGCTTAATATAAAACTAAACTCATAGCTACAGGTCAGGAACTACTTCTCCATCTTAATGATATAACCAAAAATCACGGTAAAACTACATGTTTTTGCTGACTAGGAAAGGAACCAAAGGTCACCCCAGTAAAAACAGACACATGCAACAAACAAATGCAGCACAGCCAAGTTCAGAAGTAACTGTATGAGTGTCTATACATGTGTGTGTACATTTAGGCATAGAGAAGAGAAAGGGAAAGAGAACTACGAACTGATGTGAATATAAATTTCTCTCAGAGTAGGTAACCTTGATTGTTCTTTGGTCTATTTGTCACGTGCATCGGCATCCCCACATTTTTTATTTTATTCTTTTTGAGACTCTGACACTGATGTTCCATCTCACCTTGTAGAAGTACAAGACCACAGGTCGTACTCTACTCCACCCTATGGCTCCAGTTTTGGACCTTTATCTCCCTAAAGTTATAACCATACTTGCCAGGCTCCTTTGGAATCTTAAATCTTTGGAAGCATAAAGCATTTGAGTCAAGCAATCAGAGAACATATCTCTTGTGAGTGACACTCAACACATCATGGATGTTCAATCAATTTTTTTGATGATGGTAGCAGAAAATGTCCCTTGGAAGAAGAGCATCAGAAAAACTCCTCCTGAAAGAGAACTACCAAATAGCTTTCAATTTAATATTCTACTCAGATCTCACTTTAATGAATGTATAATGCCAGTTGTCAATTTCATACTCAAAAAGGCAGAATTCATGCACTATATTATGTGTAATCATTTAACATGACTCTGTAGGTGAGAGCATTTGATGATTATTATTGATTTTAAATATGTCATAATTAAAGTCAGGGGAACCAAGTTGAAGGTCAAAATTTGCTGTGTGATTTCTTTTCATTTCTTTCCATTTAATTTCTACCCCTAATTCTATTATTTACTTATATTCAAATTTGCCAGTTGGAATTAAAACAAATAACTTCAAATACATGACAAACCTGAAGTGTTTACAAATGTATGTATCTCTTTAGAAAAAGAGTACTTTCTTCTCTATTATTATTGGTCGTGTCCAAAAATAATAATAGCCAAGAAGATAACTAGAACCTGTATTTGCCCTTAAATCTCTCCCCATTATAATTTTTCTTCTTAATTTTTTTAAATTTTAACTTTTCATTTTGAGTTACAAAAGAGTTGCAAAATAGACAAGAAAGTCCAGTAAACTCTTCACCTAGCTTCCCTGAATGCAACATCTTATACAACCACAGTACTTGTCAAAACCAGAAAATAAACACAGATGAAATATTATGAACTCATCTACAAATCTTATTCAGAGTTTGCCATTTGTCCCACTAATATGCTTTTTCTGGTCCAGGATCTATTCAGGGTCATTCCCTGCATTTATTTGTCACGCTTCCTTAGTCTGCCCCAATCCAAGACAGTTCTTCAGTCTTTGTCTTTTATGACCATGACAGTTTTGAAGTGTACCAGCCTGTTATTTTATAGAGTGTTCCTCTATTTGGGTTTGTTTGATCTTTGCTCATGATTAAAATCAGGTTATACATTTTTGGCAAGACTGTCATTTAATGATATTAAATACCCTTTTCAGTTTATCAAGGCAAACATGTCAGTATGTCTTAATATTGATAATGTTAACTTTGGTCACTTGGTTATGGGGTGTCTGCCAGGCTTATCCAACATAAAGTTACTGTATTTCTCTTTGAAATTACTAGGCATTTTGTAGAGCTATATTTTGAGATTATGCAAATACTTTCATCCAATTGTTTTAGCAACCAGTGATGATTCTTGCTATAACTATTATTATTATAGTATTTAATAAATGGTTGGCAGTTTTGAGGGTAATATACAGAAGAAAAAAATTAAAAATTAAAAAATAATAAATGGTGATTTTTCTATTTCCATAATTTCTTCAACATTTGTTAGAGTTCTACTGTAAGAAGAAATCTCCATTCTCCCAGTTTATTTATTAATTTTAACCCTACAAACTCATGGATATTTATTTCAGTCTATGAATTATAATTCATTACTATCATAACTTATTTTGTGGCTCAAATTTGTTTTCAATTTGGCCAGTGGTTGCTCTTTTAACTGGGCTCCTATATCTACTTGACACATCCCAAACATTTCTTGAGCACAGCTGTAGTTTCTGGTGTAATAAGATGCTCTAGGGTCATCTTATACTTTCTCAGCCTCAGTCCTGGAATCAGCCATTTCTTTGAGGAGCTAAAGTTCCCTTTATTTGGAAAAGGTATTTAGAAACCAAGATCTTAGCTAGGAGTGCTCATGGCTACTGGGCTTTCACTGTTTCTAGGACTCTCAGTGGACAGAACTGGAAAATATATGTATGTATACTAAAGCCATGCATACACAAGCATTTGTATCTATTTCTTTATATTTGTGTGTATATATTAGAAACCATGAGTTCATATTCACACCTCCAATTCTAATCCATCACAGAGGTCATTCCAGCCTTCCTTCTTCCCTTATTTGTACTTTCTTCCTCTGACAATGTACTTAGTTTTCATTATATTATTTACTGCAATATATTTACTTAATTGCTCTAAAGGACACATAATTTCAAAATTGCTAACCCTGTGAAAAACAAGCTATTAACTAAAGAACATTGTGTGCAATTCTTTCACCTTGTAATATATAATCAAAAACTGTTTTCCAAAGTTACTTAATTATTTCCTTCACTATCCCATTCACTGTTGTTATATTATTCATGTGTGATAGTTAGGTTCATTTATTACTAGTTGTTTTCCACTTTGGGTTTCCCCAAATCCTGGATGATTTTTTTTTAAGTAAGTGAAATATTAACATGGTTCTAAAAGTCAGAAGTATATAAAAAGATATATTAAGATAAGACTCACTCCCACTTCATCTCTTCTCCATTTCCATTCCCCTCCACTTTTTCCCTCCCATATTAGTCCATTCTCACACTGCTATAAAGAAATATCTGAGACTGGGTAATATATAAAGAAAAGAGCTTTAATTGATTCATAGTTCTACAGGCTGTACAAGAAACATAGTGGCTTCTGCTTCTGGGGAGCATCAGTAAACTTACAATCATGGCAGAAGATGCAAAGGGGTAGCAGTCACATCTTACATGGCCAGAACAGAAGCAAGGCAGTGGGGTTAGAGGTTCCACACACTTTCATCAAACAACCAGATCTCAAGAGAGCTCACTATCACCACAACAGCACCGAGGGAGATGGTGTTAACCATGAGAAACCGCCCAACCAGAGTCCAGGTGGACCACAGAGCTGCTCTCTCAATTGCCCAATGGTCAGGGAAGAGCTGATTCCAAAGAATATGCTTTGAAGGAAAGCAAACCTCTTAATATACTGGATTTTCACATATTTGTTTAGAAACATGTAGGAACAGAGATAACTAGAGCCAAAAAGGATATGAACTTCCAGCTACTGCTGTTGAAGACACTGCAAGATTTCCCAGTTGGTAATAAAAGCCTGGGAGGGGAAAAAGCTGAAGACTCAAGACCAAGACATCAGAGAAAAACATCTAAATAAGACAAGCGCAGAGACACTCCAGCCAAGGAATTTTGCAACTTCCAAATCAGGAGGCACTAGAGATTGAACATGAGAATGCTGTTGCATGTTATCTGCTATTTGCTTTAAGCTGACATTGAACAATCTGAGGTTCTTTGCACTTAATCTCTCAACTGCTTTTAACAAAGTTCCTATTAAAGCACCTGGTCTTGTGTCATTGAGGAGTGACATCTGGGTCTCAGGGAACAACTGTAGGTCCTGTACCCGTATTACAGAGAAGCAGCCTGCACTGGTACCTAAATAAGATATTTTCCTGCTGGGTGAGGCACATGCTACATTAGTAGCAAATGCAACGTTTAAAAAACAGAGACAACTAGATTCTTGGGGGATCATGGCGGACAGGAGGCAGGACTAGATTGCAGCTCTGACTTGGATGGACAGAGCAGCATATGGAGGCTTGCGTCGTGAATTTTTGCTCCAGAACAACTTCAGGAATAAATCAGGAAACCTGAGAGGACCCACATACCCCCTGAAGGCAACACATTGCTCCTGCAGGACCCAGGAGACACTTCAAATACTGTGCTGGTTTCCACAGCTGAGAGACCCACAGATGGTTCACATCACAGGACTCTGTGCAGACAACCCCCAGTACCAGCCCAGAACCTGGTAGACTTGCTGGCTGGCTAGATCCAGAAGAGAGATAACACTCACTACAACTCAGCCCTCAGGAAGCCACATCCATAGGAAAAGGGGGAGAGTACTACATCAAGGGAACACACTGTGGGACAAAAGAATCTAAACAACAGCCTTCAGCCCTAGACCTTCCCTCTGACAGAGCCTACCCAAATGAGAATGAACCAGAAAACCAACTCTAGTAATATGACTAAACAAAGTTCTTTAACACCTCCAAAAAATCACACTAGCTCACCAGCAATGGACCCAAATCAAAAAGAAATCCCTGATTTACCTGAAAAAGAATTCAGGAGGTTAGTTATTAAGCTAATCAGGGAGGTGCCAGAGAAAGGTGAAGCCCAATGTAAGGAAATCCAAAAAATGCTGCAAGAAGTGAAGGGAGAAATATTCAAGAAAATAGATACCATAAATAAGAAACAACAAAAACTTCAGGAAACAATGGACACACTTCTAGAAATGCAAAATGCTCTGGAAAGTCTCAGCAACATAAATGAACAAGAGGAAGAAAGAAATTCAGAGCTCGAAGACAACGTATTCAAACTAACCCAATCCAACAGAGACAAAGAAAAAAGAATAAGAAAATATGAATAAAGCCTCCAAGAAGTCTGGGATTATGTTAAATGACCAAACCTAAGAATAATTGATGTTCCTGAGAAAGAAGAGAAATCTAAAAGTTTGGAAAACATATCTGGGGGAATAATCAAGGAAAACTTCCCTGGCCTTGCTAGAGACCCACACATCCAAATACAAGAAGCACCAAGAACACACGGGAAATTCATCGCCAAAATATTATTGCCTAGGTACATTGTCTTCAGGTTATCTAAAGTTAAGACAAAGGAAAGAATCTTAAGAGCTGTGAGACAAAAGCACCAGGTAACCTATAACGGAAAACCTATCGGATTAACAGCAGATTTATCAGCAGAAACCCTACAAGCTAGAAGGGATGGGGACCCTATCTTCAGCCTCCTCAGACAAAACAATTATCAGCCAAAAATTTTATATCCAATGAAACTAAGCTTCATATATGAAGGAAAGATACAGTCATTTTCAGACAAACAAATGCTGAGAGAATTCACCAATACCAACCACCACTACAAGAACTGCCAAAAGGAGCTCCAAATCTTGAAACAAATCCTGGAAACACAGCAAAAAAGAACTTCTTTAAAGCATAAATCTCACAGGACCTATAAAACAAAAATACAACTAAAAAAAAAACAAGGTATACAAGCAACAAATAGCAGGATGAATAGAATGGTACCTCACATCTCAATACTAACATTGAATGTAAATGGCCTAAATGCTCCACTTAAAAGATACAGACTTGCAGATTGGATAAGAATTCACCAACCAACAATCTGCTGCCTTCAAGAGACTCACCTAACACATAAGGACTCGCACAAACTTAAGGTAAAGGGGTGGAAAAAGACATTTCAGGCAAATGGACACCAAAAGCAAGTAGGAGTAGCTATTCTTGTATCAGACAAAACAAACTTTAAAGCAACAGCAGTTAAAAAAGACAAAGAGGGACATTATATGATGATAAAAGGCCTTGATATCACAATTCTAAACACATACACACCTAACACTGGAGCTCCCAAATTTATAAAACAATTACTAACAGACCTAAGAAATGAGATAGACAGCAACACAGTAATAGTGGGGGACCTCAGTACTCCACTGACAGCACTAGACAGTCATCAAGACAGAAAATCAACAAAGAAACAATTGATTTAAACTATACCCTGGAACAAATGGACTTAACAGATATATACAGAACATTCCATCCAACAACCGCAGAATATACATTCTATTCAACAGTGCATGGAACTTTCTCCAATATAGACCATATGATAGGTCACAAAACAAGCCTCAATAAATTTAATAAAATTGAAATTATACCAAGCACTCTCTCTCAGACCACAGTGGAATAAAACTGGAAATCAACTCCAAAAGGAACCTTCAAAACCATGCAAATACATGGAAGTTAAGTAACCTGCTCCTGAGTGATCATTGGATCAAAAATGAAATCAACATGAAAATTTAAAAATTCTTCAAACTGAATGACAATAGTGACACAACCTACCAAACCTCTGGGTCATAGCAAAGGCAGTGTTAAGAGGAAAGTTCATAGCCCTAAACACCTACATCAAAAAGTCTGAAAGAGCACAGACAATCTAGACCTCAAAGAACTAGAGAAACAAGAACAAACTAAACCCAAACCCAGCAGAAGAAAGGAAATAACCAAGATCAGAGCAGAACTAAATGAAATTGAAACAAACAAACAACAACAACAACAAAAATACAAAAGATAAATGAAATGAAAAGCTGGTTCTTTGAAAACACAAATAAAATTAATAGACCATTAGCAAGATTAACCAAGAAAAGAAGAGAGAAAATCCAAATAAACTCAATAAGAAATAAAATGGGAGATATTACGACTGACACCACAGAAATACAAAAGATCATTCAAGGCTACTATGAACACCTTTATGCACATAAACTAGAAAACCTAGAAGAGATGGATAAATTCCTGGAAAGCTACAACCCTCCTAGCTTAAATCAGGAAGAGTTAGATACCCTAAACAGACCAATAACAAGCAGCGAGATTGAAATGGTAATTTAAAAATTACCAACAAAAAAATCCAGGACCAGATGGATTCACAGCAGAATTCTACCAGACATTCAAAGAAGAACTGGTACCAATCCTATTGACACTATTCCACAAGATAGAAAAAGAGGGAACCCTCCCTAAATCATTCTATGAAGCCAGTATCACCCTAATACCAAAACCAGGAAAAGACATAACTAAAAAAAAAAAAAAACTACAGACCAATAGCCCTGATGAACATAGATGCTACAATCCTTAACAAAATACTAGCTAACTGAATCCAACAACATCTCAAAAAGAAAATCCAACATGATCAAGTGGGTTTCATGCCAGGGATGCAGGGATGGTTTAACATATGCAAGTCAATAAATGTGATACACCACATAAACAGAATTAAAAACAAAAATCACATGATCGTCTCAATAGATGCAGAAAAAGCATTAAACAAAATCCAGCATCCCTTTATGATTAAAAATATAATAAATAATAAACAATACATATATTATAAATATCATAATATATAAAATATAATAATAAAATAAAAAATGATAAATATAATAAATATAATAAAAGCCATCGATGACAAACCCACAGCAAACATAATACTGAATGGGGAAAAGTTGAAAGCATTCCCTCTGAGAACTGGAACAAGACAAGAATGCCTACTCTCATCACTTCTCTTCAACATAGTACTGGAAGTCCTAGCCAGAGCAATCAGACAAAAGAAAGAAATAAATAGCATCCAAGTTGGTAAAGAGGAAGTCAGACTGTCACTGTTTGCTGATGATATGATCATTTATCTAGAAAATCCTAAAGATTCCTCCAGAAAGTTCCTAGAACTGATAAAATAATTCAGCACAGTTTTCAGAAACAAAATTAACGTACACAAATCAGTAGCTCTTCTATACACCAACAGCGACCAAGCTGAGAATAAACTCAAGAACTCAACTCCTTTTACAATAGCTGGAGGCATCACATTACCTGATTTCAAACTACACTGTAAGGCCATAGTCACCAAAACAACATGGTACTGGTATAAAAATCAGCACATACACTAATGGAACAGAATAGAGAATCCATAAATAAACCCAAATACTTACAGCCAACTGATCTTCCACAAATCAAACAAAAACATAAAGTGGGGAAAGGACACCGTTTTCAACAAATGGTGCTGGGGTAATTGGCTAGCCACGAGTAGGAGAATGAAACTGGATCCTCATCTCTTCCCTTACACAAAAACCAACTAAAGATGGATTAAGGACTTCAATCTAAGACCTGAAACTATAAAAATTCTAGAAGATAACATTAGAAAAACCCTTCTAGACATTGGCTTAGGCAAGGATTTCATGACCAAGAACCCAAAAGCAAATGCAATAAAAACAAAGATAAATAGCTGGGACTTAATTAAACTAAAGAGCTTTTGCATGGCAAAAGAAACAGTCAGCAGAGTAAACGAACAACCCAAGAATGGGAAAAAAATCTTCACAATCTGTACATCTGACTGTGGACTAATATCCAGAATCTACAATGAACTCTAACAAATCAGTAAGAAAAAAAGAAACAATCCTATTAAAAAGTGGGCTAAGGATACGAAGAGACAATTATCAAAAGCAGACATACAAATAGCCAACAAACATGAAAAAGTGCTCAACATCACTAATGATCAGGGAAATGCAAATCAAAACCACAATGCGTTACCACTTTACTCCTGCTAGAATGGCCATAATTTAAAAATAAAAAAATAATAGATGTTGGCATGGATGTGGTGAACAGGGAACACTTCTACACTGCTGGTGGGAATGTAAACTAGCACAACCACTCTGAAAAACAGTGTGGAGACTCCTTAAAGAACTAAAAGTAGAACTACCATTTGATCCAGCAATCCCACTACTGGGTATCTACCCAGAGGAAAAGAAGTCTTTATATGAAAATGATACTTTGCAGAAACGTGAAACCAACCCAAATAAAGAAACTGTGAGATGTAGATAGATAGATAGATATAGATATAGATACATATGATGAATATATGTATTATATATAATATATGAACTGTATATATGAATATATGTATAATATATAATATATGAACTATAATATATGACTACATGTACAATATATATGAACTGTGATATATATGATATATGTGTAAGATATATATCATATATATGATGAATACTATATATATCACCATATATAGGAATACGATATATCATATATGATATACATATATCTCATATATATATGATGAATACTACTCAGCCATAAAAAGGAATGAATTAATGGCATTCGTAGCAACCTGGATGAGATTGGAGGCTATAATTCTAAGTGAAGTAACTCAGGAATGGAAAACAAAACATTGTATGTTCTCACTCATAAGTGAGTGCAAAGCTATGACGATGCAAAGGCATAAGAATGACACAATGGACTTTGGGGACTCGGGGGAAAGGGTGGGAAGGGGGTGAGGGATAAAAGACTACAAATAGGGTGCAGTGTATACTGCTAGGGTGATGGGTGCAACAAAATCTCACAAATTACCACTAAAGAACTTACTCATGTATCCAAACACTACCTGTTCCCCAATAACCTGTGGAAATTAAAAAAAAAAAAAGAAATAAAAATAAAAAACAGAGACATTTAGTTGCAAATAAAAAATAACAATCTTAGTAAAAACAGAACTTCTGTTCAAACCAATGCCATCAAAAGATAAAGGGGAAGAATTCCTCTCCTTTTATGGCTATGGGACCTGAATTCTGGGGCTTCAAAGCTTGAATCAGAGTAAACATTTAAGTAAATGCTTCCAATCTGCATAATGGATGCGGCTTTTCTCTCTAAAAAAAATGTCTCTTACATCTACCCTTTTTTTTTTCAGAGTGTCATGAGGCAAGATGGAGTTTCTTATTGAAGGTGAAGGCCAAGCAAGACCAGCGACAGCATCATGACAGGTGAAGCACCAAAAAAGTAGTCTAGAGCTTTTTATCATTTCAAATTTGCTCCTTGCAGATCTCCCTAATGCCAAGCAGATCAAAGCATGGAATATTCATAAAACCCCATTAATTCCATCAGCACCCATTACCATAAGTTGAATCAATTTTTGCAACTGGAGCTTTCATTATAGGCATCATCCATATCCCTCCACCCACCCTAACAGACCCCATTTTAATCTCTCCCCACCCCTGCATATATGAGCACAAAATGTTTTCAGAATTTACGTACACTTCACACCTTGCCAGTGACAATCATGCCCCCTAAAACCAAAACAAGTAACAATAATGTGGACTTTGTTCTTTTCAGGGAGCTCATTGAAGGGTGGAGCTGAACCCCCACAAAGCAGGATAAACCAGTTCCTATTAAACCAATGCATCAGAGACACTGAAATAACACAAGTAAACACCAGCCTGAGGCTAGGAAACTGAGGTTCTGGTCTTAGCTCTGCCACGTATTAAACAAATCATTTCTCCTCTAAAACTCAAGAAATGGCATTGAGGTCCCCTCTGTTACCAAAATTCTATGATTCTATGACTTCTTGTAGGTAGCCATTATCAGCTATCCTTTGCTTCTCTCCTCCTCACATGACTAAGCAACAACAAAACATGTGACAACTTTAGAATTTCCCACATTTTAGCCCCCACTCCCTCATGAGAATTTTTCTAGTGGTCTTAAGATCATCCTGAATACTCTGCAGATTAGGGCAATGTAAGACACAGAATCTTTACCCTAGAGACTTTACCTATTGCTCCGGTATCACGAAAATTTACCGAGTAAAGAAAGAAAGCCCTCCTCCCATTATTCTAGCAAGAAGGGAACACACTGACCAAAGATTCATTCCTCTTGGGCCTATAGCCTCATTTCAACAGTTAAGGGATTTTGCGCCATCATAGCATTTACCAAACGTAAGCCTTTAGTTAGCAGAGTGCTAACTCTTAATCAGGTGCTCCTAATTCCAGCACTGTACATCACATTACTGGTGGCTGTTTGTGCGTCATGAACCAGTCCATTAACAGCCTACCCTTGGTCACTTACATGCACAATGGCAAAAGCAGAGAACACTGGAGTGTTCATCAGAACTTTAAGTTCTCAAGGCAGCAGATATGGTCAAAGATGCTCACTTTGAAATCCATTAGCAAAGTGCCGCATGAGAGATTGATACTTGGCCTCTCAGTAATGCTGTTTTCCTCTAGGATTGGAACAGATGATGACCGTTTCTTGAGTTAAGCAAAAGTTGGCTTGCACTCAGGAGCCATGTTTAAACACCAGAATTACCTTGAGTTCAGGGAGATGCTCCCACAAGGAGAGGCCCAAGAAAACTGAGATCAACCAAGGAAAAGCAAATGTATGCTCCCCATCCCCAGGGAGCTCCCAGAGCAGGCCTGGGCTTATTGAGTAAATTGATATGCAGAATTACTCATGATATTTAAATTTCTTTCCAAATGCTCCCAGTTGAATTTATATATGTTACATCACATGATGTAACTCCACTGTAATGTCACTAAGGCAAGCATACTGAATTTTCTGGGATGGGCCAAATTCAGATATTTTGTCTCAGCCTCAGAGTATGTGACACGTTACAGGTTTCAGAGACTGCAGTCATTCTAGAAAATAATACAGTTCTTTGAAAGATAATTCACCCACTTTTTCAGACTAGATTAGGAAATGACATGGTACAGTCATGACAGGTACAGTCCTGTCTTGTTTTCTATTAAAAAGCCTTGATCTATTACTGTGGCAAGTATATGATATACTATTTTTGACAAACAGTTAAATAAAAGATATTCTTTTAAAGTTATTTTAACACAATTCTTCTTTTACACAACTAAATATTTTGCTTATATTTTGAAGTAGTTTCATCTTCAGCTTCTCTCATTACTTTTCACTGGGACAGAAACACACACACACACACACACACACACACACACACACACACACACATAAAATCTGCCCTCCTGATTAGAACCTCAAAATTCTATCTCTAATTCTAGAATGAAGCATAATCTTTCTGAAGCAGTAATTTTTTTAAACCAGGGGTTGTAGGGCTCTGGTGATATAGGAATTTTGAAGCTAGTGTCCAGAGGGTAAGGCTGGTGGAGATACCAATGGTGTGCAGGTGGTGGCAGCAGCACTCTTTGCGGGCCCACTCTCCTCAGCCCAGCTGCTACCACATCTCTCCTATTCCAGGCAACCACATCCAAATCACTGCATCCTTCCCCTGTACCACAGTTTACTCCTATTGGTACAGTTTCTTTCCCATGAAAAACAAAGCTGGTATACACTTCCACACTCCCCATCTACCACAGGCAGTAAAACCCAGCAAGCATCTCTCAAGAATTTTCTCTGGACATGCCACTGTAACTGGCACTTGAATCCTGCCAATTTTTCATTCTGAGATGAAAAGATGAAAAGCATAAGGACATCATGTCACTGGGCACAAAGCACTCAACAAATTTTCTAAATTGAAGTATCTGCCAATGATAGCTAACATTTATTGAGCACTTACAATGTGCTGGGCATTCTACTAAACATTTTCATGAAGTAGCTCACTTAATCCTTATTATAACCCTATGCAGTAGAAATCATTATTATCTTCAAATGATAGACAAGGAAACTAAGCCTCAAAGACAGTGTGCAACCCGCCCAGCGCTCACACAGTGAGAACATGGTGGGACCAGGACTTGAACCTGTGATGTCCCACTCTGATGCTGGTACAGAAATGTCCTCAATTCAGAGGCTCCCTCTGAAATCTTACTCTCAGACAGAGGGGTAGGCTCCAAGCAGAATTCCAGAGACAAATTCCCAGCAGATGGCTTAACTGATGAGAGGACCAAAAAGCACTAGTATCAGCAGAGAAGTGAAGGAATGGAAACAGCAGCAAAAAGAAAAGACAGAAAGGGAAACCAATGTTTGCTAAGGACCTGCTAGGTGACTCACAATCTTGTAAGGTATTACTAATCCCCTTTTCACAGATAAGATTACTGAGGCCCAGAAAGTTAAGTAACACACCAAAGGTAAGATAAGTCAGGACTCCACCAAACTGGAAATGAACAGGCCGAAATTTTCATTCATCTAGGAAAAGAGAGGGAAGAGACGAGATCATACAGTGAGTAGTACTTTGGACCTGAGGCAGGTGAGGGTTTGAGGATGGAGGTGAGGAGAGACACTGGTTAAAAACCAAAGGAAGAATGTGAGGAGCCTTGGGTACACAAGTCATTAGAGGAGGGTTTGGGGCCAGATGAGGTAAGTTAGAAGAAAAGGAGGGACAATGAAGCAGAGAACTAAAATAGAAGGTTTATGGAGGAATAGGGGTAACTAAAGGAATGGCCAAAAAAGCAGAAGATGTTGATCTCTTCCTCCTCTTCTCTTCCTCCCATTCTTTCTCTCTAATGTAAACTTCACTGTCTCCTAGTTCCCCCACTGCTCTACCTCCAGATCTTAGTCTTATTTTTCTTTTCCTTTCCTTTAATGGCCCAAACAGTGGAACCAAAGTATACTTTTACTTTATATGTTGATTGAATAAAGTCATATGCTCTCAGTTAGTTTTTAAATTAACTCAAAAGATAGTTTTCTATCTCTACCACTACCCAGAAACTTCACTGAAACTAGAACCAAGTTTCTCTTCATAAGTAAATATGAATATCTCCATAAATATCATAAGAAGACCTTACTGATTTTTTTTTTTATTTGAGATGGGGTCTCACTCTGTCACCCAGGCTGGAGTGTGGAGGTGCAATCTTGGCTCACTGCAACTTCTGCCTCCCAGGTTCAAGCACTTCTCCTGCCTTAGCCTCCCGAGTAGCTGGGATTACACGCGTGTGCCACCAGGCCCAGCTAAATTTTTTTGTACTTTTAGTAGAGACAGGGTTTCACCATGTTGCCCAGGCTGGTCTCGAACTCTTGGCCTCAAGTGATCTGCCCCCATCAGCCTCACAAAGTGCTAGGATTACAGGCATGAGCTACCATGCCCAGCCGATATTTTCTATTAATACGTATCTTTAAATTTGTCTTATTCCTACCATAGACTAGGTGCTCTGAGGGCATGTTTCTTCCACTGAATTGTAATTTTTAAAAATAGGACTTTGGAGATTTGTTTTATGTATAAGGCCTGCTAAAAACACTAAGGAAAAAAAAAACTCTTTTGTAAGAGGGTCTTAAGTGAAATATTCACTGAAATCTGAGAAATCTTGAGAAGTCGAAGTTCTAAAGCAGATGGTTGCTCTCTATAACTGACTACAAGTGGTTTTAATGGTAGCGAGTTGCTTTTCTCACGTGACAGGACTCTAGCAGCAAATAATTCTGGAGGTGGTACAGAGGCTTGGGGAAATCAATAAGGACCAGCACTTTCTATCCTTCTGTGTGTTGGGATTGCTTTCCCTTATGAGAGGCAGAAATTTTATAGCTTTTCTGTCTATATGCCTCTTGAAGGAAGAATCTGTTTTAAAATATTTTACTAATGTCTGAACCACCGACTTTGATAACATAAAACACAACTTCAAGCCCAAATGTAAGTAGAAAAGACCTTTCAAAATCTTCATTCATTTATTCAGTCACTCACCAAACATTTGCTAGTTTGTACCTGATCTGAGGTAGGCACTGGCAGGGAGAGTGAGAGATAAATAAACTATAAAATGTTGTCTCTAGGAGCTTTCATTCTGGTGCAAGAGACACATAAAAACAATTTACCACAGGTCGCTCGATCATGTACTACAAGTAAGGAAAGAACGGGGGGCCGGTGGGAACTCAGAAAAGGGGAAGTTACTGCCTGAAGACACTAGGGAAGCCTTCATAGAAAGGATAATCCCTCTAGTCTTGAAGGATACACAGACATTTGCCAAGTGCATTTTCAATGCCAGGAGCAATAGGCTCACAGGATAGAAAAGGAGCTAGAGATTCAAATCAGATAGTAAAAGTCTTTAGATGCTCAGCAGAGACAAATGGGTTTCTTCAGTCTGAGAATGACATGGAGAGCTTCAAATGTGAAGAAGAAAATTTGCAACATTGTAAAGACAAATTTATATAAGGAAGTAGCCAGAGAGAAGGCAGCTGTGGTCATCTCCAAGATGTGATAAGTGACTAGATGAGACAGAGACAGAGAGGAGTAGAAAAGATGGGCTGATTGTGAATTTCTAAGGCAGATGTGACAGGGTTTGATACACGATTAGAGGTGGAGTGATAGGGAGGAGACATTGTCAATGGCAATTCACAGATTATCAGGCTAGATGGAAGCTAGATGGAAGGTGATATCATACCTAGAGACTAAAAATAATGTTCTTGACAGGAGTTGCTGAGCTCAGTTCTAAAGTGTTGAGTTTGAGGTTCTGAGAGGCATCCAGGTCAAGATCCAGTCAGAGATACGGAGCTCAAGCCTATGACCAAAGTCTACATACCAAACAATGATGGAGACACCCTCTCATAGGAGGGGCTGACATCATTAAAGAGGATCAAAGGGGAAAGGAAAAGAAGCAGGAAGCCCAAGGAGAGGAGGGACAGGAAGTGAGGAGCAGAATGAGATATGGGGAGAGAAAAAGGAAATGAGAGAAGAAACAGTCTTTATACTTTACTCTGATGTAAAAGTATACATCTATCTCAGGCTTCCTGGCTCTTCCTCAGGCAACTCTGTGTAAAATAAGACAGCAGAATAGAAACAGAGAACCTGTATTACAGAGGACGGTTGACAGCAGCAAAGAAGACACAGGAAAAATGAAAATAGCTTTCTACCTTGCTCCAAAGTATTTAATGAGATTTTCTTTAAAAAACTAAGTAGTCTGAAGTAATTTCATACTGAAGAAAATAATCTTACACTCATGGCTGGGCGCAGTGGCTCACACCTGTAATCTCAGCACTTTGGGAGGCCAAGGGGGCGGATCACCTGAGGTCAGGAGTTTGAGACCAGCCTGGCCAACATGGTGAAACCCTGTCTCTACTAAAAATACAAAAAAAGTAGCCAGGCGTGGTGGTGCATGCCCGTAATCCCAGCAACTCCAGAGGCTGAGGCAGGAGAATCGCTTGAACCCAGGAGGCGGAGGTTGCAGTGAACCAAGACCGCACCACTGCACTCTAGCCTGGGTGACAAGAGTGAAATTCGGTCTCAAAAAAAAAAAAAAAAAAGGAAGAAAGACAGAAAAGAATCCTACACTCTTCAATTGTCCTTAAAGAAATTGCTCATTGCTCTATTAGATAAGTATTAGTTTCAGTTATCCGGAAAATTCACATAGATGAGATGTCTGTGAGAGTGTCAAAATAAAAGTATTTCCATTTATAAGTATTATTTTTCCCCAGCTATTTGAAACAAAAAATACTATCCTAAAAAGCAGTTACTAGTTTTGGTCATCTTAATAGCTTTGTAACACTAGAAAATAAATCAAACCAGTTTGAAAGTCACTTTGGTGTGCAGCCTAATAGATCATGCACATGAGGACAATCAATAAATATTATTTCCTGTTATGATTAGGCTGGTCCCTCTTCCCCAGCAGGTACCCAGTCCTCAGCCACTTTCCTCTCTTCCAGAAATGAGCTCCCACTGACTTCAAAGGAAGCTTTAAAAATGGATTAAAGCAAAGATCATATATGGACTTCAAAGGGAGCTCTGAACACACATAAGATATTTCATGGGGGAAGGGATGGAGATGGAAATTTTGTTCCTCTTATTATTCCATGCTTAATGAATACCACCAGCATTTTCCATGTATTCAGCCAAAGTGTATTTCTTCCCTTTGCAACACTTTCCATTTCAATGACATAATAATAGTTGTTTATTTTAGAACAAAATCTAATACTTGCTCTAAATATTTCAGTATTATTATAGTGATGCTAAATGTTAGTTTTTTCCCCTATATAATATGGCAGCCATGACAATTAGGTTTTGTCATACCATGCAAAATATTGCCATTTTAATTACATACCATAATGTCACTATGAAAAATTTTGAGAGTTACTCTTTAGAGCATAATGTTCTTTTAGTATACACAGCCAGATCTGATTCTCAAGACTCTCTTTCTCTCCCCAAATGCAAATAATTTAATAAGTTTAGAATTTTCAGTATAAGTATTCACCATGTCTACTGCCTCTCTGCATAATTTTCAATATACCACCACCACCACCTTAACATATGCAAATTCAAATAACTTACTCTTCATGGCATTGAAGAGACTGTGAAAACAAGAAAATATACTCCAAGTACAGTTTATCTTCTCCATAAAAAAATCTCAGACTCATTCTAAAATAATAATTATGATTACTCAGGGGCTCTTAAACAAGTATTGTAAGTTAATAAAACTCCTACAGAGCCCTCTGAACTCACAAGATTCTGGTGTTCTCCAGAAGTAGGGCACCCAGCTAACAAATAGTCAAATGAAACTTGAACACAGGTGTGGCTGATGTCTGTGTAGGAGGAAAGCAGTGATTTTTACCCAAATGGGCAGCCCTTTTCTAGGAATCTCCACACTCCTGTGACTGTACTCATAGCTGGCCTTTCTCTCAGCATGGCACCCTGGCTTCTCTCTCTCTCTCTCTCTCATGCACGTACATATATGCACATTTCCACATGGGAGTGACGAGCCACATGATGCAAACAAAAAAAAATGTGGGAGGTTGTCAGAGAAGGCTCTCTTCTATTCTCATGGGAAAAACAAAAGAGGACATGGCTGAATGTGTTATACAGTTCAAAGGAGACAAAGATCAGACACAACATCACATTTGATTAAATTCCATATAAGGCCTCACAGTTGAAATAATGAAACTAGTGGAACTGCTGCCAATAGTAAGCTAGAATGAGCGAGAGAAATAATTGCATCAAACCAGTAAGAAAGGTTCAAAGGGTACGCATAGATAGGCACTGATTTAGTTAGGAAATCCAAGTCCGACTTTAAATTATAAGACAAGACCAGAACCACTTAGGAAAAGTGATGTTTCCAGGACCTACTGGTATATTCCATATGCAGTCATGACAGAAATAACCAAAATGTTGCCTTCCTCAATTTACTCCTCACCTAAACCCAAAAGCAAACAGTTCAAATGAAAACAAAACCTGCAGGCTGGGCGCGGTGGCTCATGCCTGTAATCCCAGCACTTTGGGAGGCTGAGGTGGGCGGATCACATGCGGTCAGGAGTAAGACCAGCCTGGCCAACATGGCGAAACCCCATCTCTACTAAAAATACAAAAATTTGTCAGTCATGATGGTGGGCACCTGTAATCCCAGCTACTCAGGAGGCTGAGGCAGGAGAATCACTTGAATCCAGGAGGCGGAAGTTGTAGTGAGCCGAGATGGCGCCACTGCACTCCAGCCTGGGCAACAGAGTGATACTCTGTCAAAAAAAGAAAAAAGAAACTGCAAACATATACCCTTCTTATTCTCAGATGAAAGCCTGGTTTGAGTATAACTTTACATCCACATTTTGAAACAGATAGTTCTTTTGTCTGGTTTTAATAGAGAACTTAGTTTTATTTAAAAGAATAAGTATTAATTTTCTCTGTGTTTTATCCATTTTGTTTATTTATTCAATAGACACTGACCAAACATTTATTATATGAAAGGCACTGCAATAGGTCCTATGTAAGAACCCAAAATGAAACAGACGTAGACTCCATTTTCCTGGGGCCACAGGAGGGCTACTACAGGGCACAAATAATGATATTGCAGGGGAGGATGTAGTCTATGACCACCACGAATAAGACACAGATAAAGCTTATTATATCTCACTTAAAAGCAACTAAGGAAAAGTAAAAACTAATTTTCGTTGAAGTGTTTCAGAACCCTAGTTCTGAGGGGAAGTTTATAGATTTTCTAAGGGAGTGGGGGGTGCCCCAAGGTCAAATAAGTTCAAATAACTTTGGAAAACACTTGGTAGACAAGTTAGAATAGGTTCTTTACTGTAGGACTTCCCAATACCTTTGATGAGCTAATTTAACTCGCAAATTTCCAAGAGGATAGTAGAGTTGGCAACATTTCTCAAATTCATTTGACTACAGTACACTTTTTTTCAGAGCATCTCATGGAACTAGTGATCTACAAAATACTTTGGAAGTCCTAGTACAGTTTGAGCTTGTGCAGAAAATATGGAGCATTTTAAATTGACCAATCTTAAGTAAGTGAAGAAGACAAAGTTGGAAAGGTAAGTTAGAGTCATATCACGGATGACTGTGACCTGCTGACTACTCTCTCCTGGAAACTCCCTTTCCTTAGCCACTATGTTAAGGCAAGTCTGAATGACTTTGGCTCAAAATCTGCTCTGCCACTCACTTACTAATCTTAAGACCTTCAGCAAATTATTTTTCTTTCCCTGATTTTCCTTATTTGCATACCTATAAAATAGGGTTGTTAACAGGAAGGATTCGATGAGCCCATGAATATAAACTACTTATCATACCTGACAAATAATAAATGTTATTTATCTTTCCATCTGGGGTGATTCCCTTTCCTGCCTTTTGAATAATCCCCTCTGCTTCCTTAATTGACACAGCATTTTCTTCAGGTTCCTTAAATATAGGCTTTCCTTAGAATTCCTTTAGCCACTTTTTTTTTTTTTGCTTACTCTAAATGTTCTCCTTTAGTGATAGCTTCAATTCCCTAGCCTGATACACTCCATATCTACAAACCTAGCCCTGATATTTCTCTAAAATTCCAGAGAGTACTTCCAAACAACACCTGAACATGTGTACCTGAAATGTCCTACAGGTACTTTGAGCTTATCATGTTCAAAACTGCACATAGTATCTTCTGTTGTAGTGTACTTCCATACTTCTTTTCCCTTCTGTATTATGTGTCCCATTATCAAACACCCAGTCGTCAAAGCTAGAAAACCTTGAATTCATTTTTTACTTTTTCTATTCTCTCAACCCTGCCTTTGCCTCCACTACTTCCCTCCCCACATTTGGGTGATCAACTGATCCACTGATTCCATTTCCAGATTATTTCTTGAATTGATTAGTACTGTTTCATTCCTACTACAGGCTTTCATCACATTCTTATCACCTCTCATTTAGATTTATGAAATAGGTTTCTAATTTGTTTCACTCTTCCAGTTGATCCTCCACACTATGATGTTTCTTAAATACAAAATTGATTATCTTATTTTCATATCTTAAAACCTACAAAGATTATAATTTTTCTATCAAATACCTTAAACAAACAATGAACACTAGTTAATGATAGTCATGCTGAAGTATTTAGAGAGGAATGTACTGAAACGTACAATCTGTTTTGAAATGTATAAAAAATAAAATGAATTGATGGATTATAAAGGGATAGATAGGTGATTAAACAAGTTTAGCAAAATGTTAATAGTACAATCTAATGGTAGTTATACTAGTACTGATTGTAGAATTCTTTCCATTTTATTTAAAAATAAAATCTATACTTTAAAACTGTTCATAATAAAATGTTGGGGAAGGAGGAGTAAAACTATGAAGGCTCCGGGTTGTCTACAGGGTAGCATCCAAATACCTTAAGTAGGCCCTTCACAACTTGGCTCCAATCTACCACTCCAGCCTTCCATCCTCCTACTGATTTGACCCTATGTTCTAACCAAATGGAATGAATCAACATCCCCTTAATGCCTTATAGACTTTTTTGTGGCTAAGCCTTTGTCATCCTTCTATCTTTGCCTGGAAGAGCCTTTCATTATTTTTCTGTCTGGCAAATGTCTAATCATTTTTAACAGCAGCAGCATCTCCTCTGGGATGACTCCCCGGACAAAGTTAACTGATTGATATTCATTCTTTGTCTCTCTGCCTCTCTCTCTCTCAATTGCATTGTAGCACTTACCGTGTTGAGCTGTGATTAATACTTACGTATGTGTTTTTCCCAACTGCACTAGCTGCTCCTTGATGACTATCTCCCAGTCTTTGTATACACAATACCCAGCATATCCCAACACATTCTAGGTCCTCAATATGTCTCTGAATTAAACTGAACACCAGACTAAGAAGTATGCTATTCCTTACGCAAAGTTTTAAGTTGCTGTCTCTGGGCCTTTTTACTTTGCTCAGTGGCAATCTGTCTGTCCTCTGTTCCATACGCCAGGGGTTTTTACTATCGCTCATCTTTAACCAGGGATAAGTATATCAGCTGTTGTATTTAATCCAAATGGGTTACATACATTTCAAATCTGTCTTCTATAATTATGGAGTAAGGGTTTTTCTTCCTATAAAGACTTTTACGTGTGAGGAGAAGTTCACTGACAATTAGCTAATGCTTGGTCTATTTCTAGAAGTGCTAAAAATGACCTTATGGAACCGCCTTTGCAAAATTATGACAGACAGTGAAAGAGATCTAACTTAACTGACTGCACCTTGCTTCTAATCTCCAAGCTGTCCTTGTTGATTCCTGGGCATAGGCTGAACTAACTTCGGGAGAAACTTAGTTTACAGTTTAAACAAAGACAGTAACAGCCCTTTCCCAAAGCAGACCTCCTTCTTGCCTGGGGACTAGATTGCCTTTGTAGGACTCACATTAGCCAGAAGATTAAAAATTATGGTTTAGGAGTCATGCAGCTGGAGGCTACAAGATTCCGACCCTCCCTAAACTGCACCTAAGATCAGTGCTTGAGATATTTTGCAGCCCCTGCACTTGATGGATCAGCTGGCACCACCCAGATCAATAAACTGGCTCATCTGATCTTCTGGACCCCCACCCAGGAAATGATTCAGCACAAGAAGACAGCTCTAACTCCCTATGATTTCATCTCTGACCAATCGGCTCTCCTGGAACACTGGCTTCCCCCACCCACCAAGTTATCCTTAAAAACTCTGCTCCCCAAATGCTCAGGGAGACTGATTTGAGTAATAATAAAACCCTGGTCTCCCGCACAGCTGGCTCTGTGTGAATTACTCTTTTTCTATTACAGTTCCCCTGTCCTGATGAATCGGCTCTGTCTAGGCAGCAGGCAAGGTGAATCCCTTAGGCAGTTACACTTATACCCCACCCCCCCAAAAAAGCCATAAATTTTGAAATGAAATTTATATTATAAAGAGCTAGAACCGTCAGACTCTGAAACATCAAAAATTCTCTCAAAATTTCTACCAAGGATTGTGTCTGACATCATCTTTTCCTAAAACAAGCAACAATTAGCAATAGTACTTCAACCACTCACTTAATTTCCCCCAATCATTCTCAGTATTCTCAAAAGAAAGTTTCCAAAACTACCCAAATCCCATAATGCTCGCTCGCTCTCTTTCTTTTTCTCTCTCCTCTCTCTCTCAGACACACAAGCACATGTGAATACACACACACACACACACACACACACACACACACAGAGCAACAAAAAGATGTAGAGGTAAAACTGAATATACCATTCATTCTTCCAAGGTAATGTTATTTTGCTTGTGGGGTTCCTAATTCCTCCTACTAGTGTTTTCAGAAAAATTCTTGCCAATTAATAATTTAATGCTTGATTCCAAAAATCTGAATCTTGCCAGTTCCTCTACTTTGTCTCTAGCTTCCAAAAATTAAAAAAAAAAAAGTGATCTTAAAGAATTATATTGCTATAAAGAAGCTTTACTCTGTTAAAAAATATATAACTATTTTCAGAGTTCATTGTTATGGCCATTTGATTTGGATGACTAGTACTTCTTACCCATTACAAACACTACGTCTGACCCATTAAATTGACACTGGTCCAAGTTTCACTAAACTAAAACATCCCCTCCTCGGCCTGCTAATGGTGTATTTCTTTATAAAAAATCTTAACTAGTGACTCAGAACTCCTTTACAAAGAGTCACAGAAGCCACAAAAAAAAAATGCATCACAAGTAAAAGAAAAAAATGTTACATTAATAAATACTTAGTATTTACAAAGTGGTTACAATTTTGATTTGCATAACAAGTCTTCCCCAGTTCCCAACCTGTTAGCCACTCCTTCCTCAAGCTAGCCTCCTCAGGACCATGTGCATCCTTCTGTACAGCAGTTTATTTGTTCATCTCCTCTGTGAGGCCCTGACCCTTGTAGGAGCATTCTATATCCCCAGGGCACAGTACAATTAAGGAATAAAGTAGGTACTTATAAATATGTGTAGGGAAAAAAAAAGAGAAGGAAGGAGAGAAGGGAGGAAGAGGGAGAAGGAGAGAAGAAAGAAAAGAGAAGTAGAGAGAGAAAGAGAAATAGGAGTGAAAGAGTACTAATCTGCATATCTTGCAGATGAGGAAACCACCCTTCAAATCAGGTAAGTGGCTTCCCTAAGGAGCTTCCACTCCACCCCACTACACCTGGAATCTTTGACTCCAAGCTACACCTTAGTTCCTTCTAGTCTCCACATTTGAGGTACCCTGCCTCTTTCTAACTTCCTCTTATGAGATCATTCTTCAAAAAACAACAGTTAATCCCACCTTTTCATGAAGCTTTTCTCACCTATTTCAACTCCCCATGATTTTTCCCTCTACTGCAGACCAATGTCACCAATTTTTATAGAATCATTTTATTTTATTTAGAAACAGGGTCTTGCTCTGTCACCCAGGCTGGAGTGCAATGATCGTAACTCTGCAGCCTCAAACTTCTGGGCTCAAGCAATCCCCCAGCTTCAGCCTGCTGAGTAGCTAGGACTACGGATGAGCACCCCCACGCCCAGCTAATTCTTTTGGTTTTTGGTTTTGTTTTGTTTTGTTTTTGTTTTGTAGAGATGGAGGTCTCACTATGTTGCCCAGGCTAGTCTTGAACTCTTGGCCTCAAGTGATCCTCCTACCTTGGCCTCCCAAACATACAAACATGTTAACACTTAAATAAAAACAAATAGTAGTCTTCATGTGTACATTTTATGTATTTACCTATCCTTTTCTCAGAAAGATTTTAAGGTGACTTTTGACATATGTGTGTTCTAGCTCTATAAAATGCATGTATATTCACTAGGGGTTGGGGTTATGGTGCATATGTCTTACTTATGATGTTTTATCAGTCACAGAAAACAAGACAAGAATTTATTTTTAGGACTTAGTTACTTTTCCTGTTTCTGAAGTTCTCTTGCCACAGTTTAATATACACTCCTCTACTTCTCAGTACTACTATTTAAACTAACAAATAACATCCCTCAAAAGAAATCAGCCTGAGTGAGTTTAAAAAGGATGATCTGTTCACTCAGTTCTGCACCTTCAGGAATCTACTGAAATTAAAACCAAGAGTCATAATGAGTCACTCCTCTTCCTCTTACACAAGGAAAGAGCAATCATGAATGGAATACACAACGAATAAGGCAGGTCCCTCCAGTACTAAAATCTGCCCAAGTCTTTTCATGCCAGCAAAACTAAAAAATTCTAACCCCAAAAAGATCTTTAATCATTTTCTCATTTTTTTCCATTTTCAGAGCCTTCATAACAGTAATGTTTTCAGCTTTAAGAGAACTTACCACCACTCCATTGTTTACAGTGTAGTAAAAGATTTATCTTATGCAAGTTGCTCAGTCTTTCTTCCATTTCACCAGCACTAATACAGCCACTGGTTTCTTCCCTGATCAATTAATAAGTTGTTAACGGCAAAGCCTCAGAACCGTGCAATAAAAGACACTGCAGAGCTCTGCTAATGGTCACATATCAGGAACAACAGTTCTGGTTTGTAGGGAATCAAACTCCCTCATTATTTGTGTTCACTTCTGGTAATTAAGCATTTAAACAGCACTTGACATTCAGCAACCATTTTTATAAGCATTCCTCTTAAGAACCTAGAACACCATCAATTCGATAGCACTGTCTTTGTAAGGCACAAACTGATGGTGGCTAAGGACCAAGAAAGCTTCTCCCTTCTGTGTGAAGGTGATGCTACTCCCCTTAGGGAAACCACTAAGCTTCTTTTCCAACAGCAGTTTCTGGTTTGTGCTAATTTGTGGACAGTCTTTCTGGTCTCCTCTTGACAGATGGCAGGTGTTTCAGAACTTTGACCCTGTCCTGAAAATGCCAAGCATCATATGGCCAAAGTGGAACACAACATACTGACTTAGAAATAATGGTCATGTAATGACCCCATGTTAAGCTGCTCTAGGAGGTTATAATTTTTTGTTTGTTTGTTTTTGAGATGGAGTTTCGCTCTTTTCGCCCAGGCTGGAGTGCAATGGCGCGGTCTCAGCTCACTGCAACCTCCACCTCCTGGGGTCAAGCAATTTTCCTGCCTCAACCTCCTGAGTAGCTGGGATTACAGGCTTCCACCAACATGCCCGGCTAATTTTTGTATTTTTAGTAGAGATGTGGTTTCACCATGCTGGCCAGGCTGGTCTCAAACTCCTGACCTCAGGTGATCCACCCACCTCGGCCTCCCAAGGAGGTTATGATTTAAAGGGAACTTACACATTTTGTTTTGTTTAAATCATGGAGAACAATGAAAAGAACTATTATTTATATTTGGAGCAAGCCAACCACTAAAGGAATAAACTCAGTGCTTAAAATGGATTGTTTTCTCCCTCACCTGTTGAGGAAAAGATTCTTTAAATGAATTTAATAAATGTACTGTGCACTAACCACAAGCCAGCACTTGGAAGAAAACAGTGACCCAGGATCAAAAGGATGATCACTGTGAATAAGTTGTGTCAGGCTAACTTCCTCCTACTTCTTTGTTTTTAACAAGTTTGCCAAATTAACGGTTTAGAAAATGTAATCCATATGTATACCTATCTAAATTTCATCAAATATTTTAACTATGTTGATTGAGATGTGGACAAGATAATGGACAACAGGAAATCTGTAACACATCTAATGACTTTGTCTAACAGTTACCGGTTTCTGGGTCTTTATCAGTCTGGAAGGAGGTTTTTTTGGTGCCACACTGTATTAATTGTCCCTTGCCTATTGTGAACAGATCTTTCCTTTAAGAGCTTCTCAGATCCATTCACTTCCTTCCACCTCACTGCATATCTTGGTAGCAGTCCTGGCTATCTTTCATCTGGGTCCCTGCAATGACCAATCTCTGCCTCCAGTCTTGCTTCCCTCTGGTTTTTAACCACATTTGAAGAGTGCCCATCTTTCCTGATTTGCCCAGTTTATGCCTGTTGTCCCAGAATAATTATTAATAAAGCCCGTTCATTCTCAAAAGTGCCTCCATTGGGTGAAATTATATGCCTAACTTTAAAGAGTATGATTCTAACCACATCACTCCCCCACTTAACACTTTCAGTGGCTTATCCCTGTCCTTAAAGTCCACATTTATTCAGCATGTTTTTGTTTTTTTTTTCTTCTTCTTAATATCCACTAAACTATAAGTTTCAAGAGGGCAGGGATTATTTAGTCTTATTTTGGTCTTATTTGATAACTAGCAAAACCCCAGGGCCCATAACAGCACCTAGTACATAGTAGGTGCTCAAACACATGTTTAATTATTAGCTTGTAAGGGGTCCACGGTTTGGGCACTGCCTACCTATCCAACTTCATCTCTGCCCTCTATTCACAGTCTAATCTTCAGTCAGATTGTACTGTATTCAGTTCCTTTCTCACCTCTAGACCTTTGCGTATGTTGGTACCTGTTCCTCCTTCCCCCACCTCTACCTCTAGTATCCCCCTAATCTCCTGCCTAATTCCTTTAAAGTCACTTCCTTTTGGAGGCCTTCCCCAACCCTCTAGTTAGGAAATGTCCTCGCACTGTGTATGCCCACATCACTCTGCACTTCTCCTAGACTAATACTCATCATACTTTACAGCTAACAATTATTGGTCTCTCACTCTGGTAGTCTGTTTGTTCTGTGATCACACTTATACATACTTCCAGCACCCAGTACAATGTCTACCACCTGAGATGCAATTAATAAATAACTGCTGAATTAACGAAATAGGCTGATACGATCTTAAAGGTGCCATATAAAGATGAAATGGGATGATATTCCTCCCTTATCTGCAATGGATTATGTTCAGTTCTAGGTACCATGTGTTAAGCTCCTGCCTCCTCAGAGAAAAGCAATCAGGAGGATTAATAGAGTGCTAACCAGAAATTGAGATGAGAGAGAGAGAGAGAGACAGAGGGAGGGAAGAAATGAAGGATGAAGGGCCTTCAAATTTCTAGAAAAAAGATTAAACATGTTTTGTATGACCCTGGCAGGACCAATAGAAGAAAATTAGAAAACAAGAAGTTTGGGCTTTTTAGCAGTCAAAACTACCTGAAGATAAATGTGTTGTCTGTGAGGCACTGAGTTTCCTGTCTCCAGAAGCATTCATAATAGGCCAAACTGTGAGTTGGTGGAGATGTAAAGCTGGACTATTTTTAGTAGTAAATAGCAGAGAAGAAAAGTAGTAATGAGTGAAGTAGCTAAGCAGCTTGGAAAGTCAGATTGGAAAGAAAATCCAAAAAAGGCCCCAGTGCATACCTCACTGAGCTGGCTGGGAATTCATCCCTGTCCCCATTCCACATGTCTATGAAGGAAAATAGGCTGGATTAAGTAGAACAAAAGGGAAGACTTAGTAAGCAGGATACTAATGGTGATGTAGTCACTGAAGAGAAAATATGAATCATAAAAATGCAGTTGATGGCCATCCATTCCTGTTTAAAATATAATAAAAATGTACAAATAGATATTGAAATCAGTAGTCAACTTTTGATAATAACAAAGAAAAAGAAAAATCTATTCACTTTAATTCTAGGTGAAAAGAAAGATCTGATCTTTTACAAAATAAATAATATTTGATAATGCTAATGTTCACAAACTTAGCTCCTGAACAATTAATAATTTTTAAAAAGCAAGGAGATGGAGTTGACATCCACTTAATTCTATGAGCACACACACTTCTAACCACTTCATATTCTTAAATCATGCTTTCAGTCACTGATGTAGAAGTGCGTGAATTATTGAGCCCTGCGTTAAGACTCCAGGAGGCAAACTGACGACACTGATCTATGTTTTGGAGGCTTTTTGTTGTTTTGTTGACTTAGTGGAGCAAGAAAGAAATTCCCAGCTGCCAAGTCTGAAGAAGTGGGTGGGACTCTTTCATTCATGGGAGCCAGTCCAGGGGAGTAGACCACTGTTCCCAGGAGGGCTTCCAAAACAACTTCTGAATAATTCATGCTCTGAATTGGAGCAGCCCGCAGCAAGGAGTTTTATAATGCCCTCATGTTTGACTACCATGCAGGCCCTTTTCAAGAACCTATTCCAGAGCTTCATGAAGAGGGATATCGGCTGATTTATAAAACATGCTGGAGTATGACCTGGAACTTATTTCCCCCCAGCCTCCTCTGAGCTGTGCTATAACCTTGCATAAGTCTGTCTTTCTCTGAGGGGGACAAGTCTGAGATTTGAACACCTCAATTTTCACAATTAATAGTTTGGGCTAAACATACTAAAAATAAATGAAAATGCTTTTTACAGCTTTGATGACCATACCACTTTCCACCACTACTCCCCAATACACACACACACACAGACACACACACACAGAGCATTTTCAAATCCAAATATAAAGAGAGAAAGATTTCACTCTCTAGTTAGAAAAGAAGCACAGCAAGAGATAAAATATGCAATGCCAGTTAAAGTCAACATTCTAAAACCTAGAGGGCTTGGTTCTCAGGACAGATTGTCTTACTCTCACAATAGTATTCTAAAGACCTTGGACTGAAGTCAGAGAGTATCTGCCAAGGATCACAGACTTCCCCCACAACTCATCCCACCCACAGTCACTACCAGCCACTGGGTGGTGTAGGAGACAGGCTATCAGCACACACTCTGGGAATCCATCTGGATGAGACTTTTAACCCATGAGGGACTGCCCCACAAAGAATTAACTCCCAGGAATCCTCAGCATGAAGCTCAGTTCAAATGTAGTGTTCTAAGTGAAGAAGGACTTGTTAGCTAATAAAATAATAGAGTCTGGCTATCAGGCATCAGGTCACTGCAAGTGGGCAGCGACAGGATGAACAGGGGAATTATGGCATGGTGCCTGAGCACAGGTGGCTCTCTTCATGGAGGGGGTGCAAACAAGGAAGGGTAGGAAAGAGAGGAAATGGTAGTGGGGGGAGGGTAGGGACAATGGATTGCTGTTTAATGTGTGTGGTTTTGCTTATATGTTTGTTTCTTTTAGTGGGAGAGACGATGAGAGGGTTTACCTCCTAAGGGGCAGGACTAATAAAGAGAAAGAGAGGTTTGAAGATACAGGGAAGAAGGGTTTGACCAGTGGGCAAGGAACCCAGGAAGCAGGAGAGAGGTGGACTAACTGCAAACAGGACAGGGACACCTGTCCCCTAAGGCAGAAGGAAATAGTAGGTAAAAATGGTGGTTAGCAAGTCTGGGCCAGCCAGGAAGCTGAGATGTTCTCACTCGATGATCAAAAGCTGCTCAGTGAAGTAGGGGGCATGGTCTTCCTCCAGGAGAAGTGGGGAGGTGAGATAATGGGGAGGGGTTTGAGGCAAAGTTTGGACTGGCTGCTGAGAGAACAGGAAAAAGATTGACCAGGAGGATGGCCTGGTGGCCCAGAGGCCCTTCTGACAGTCGACTTCGGTACAAGTGGCCCAGGAGTGGCACCCATGGGAGATTATGGTACAGGAGAGAATGGGGTCCCTGGGGGGCCAGGGCTGCAGGGAGAAGCTGTTCAGAGGAGGTTATACAGATAGGAAAGAATTGGGATCAGTAATCAAGAGGATTAAATGACCACCCAAAGCACACATTATATGGTCGGTTCCAAAGGAAAGCTTGACAGGTCCTGGGGGTGTCAATAAGTCCTGGTGAGACATCAGACACCTTGGATGGCAAGTTCCTGCCAATGCTGTACAAAAGGGAGAGACCCAGCATAAAGACACAGTGTGGAAATGCATTCTAGGCTACAGAAGACTCCTAATTGGAGAATCTCTCTCCCTTTTCTCCTGCGACTTAATCATTAAAGTAACTTTATTGTCCAGACATGACTCACTTGACACAGTTACTGCCATCCTGTAGCTCAGAAAATCACTGCAGAGATTAGAGAGATTCCAGAAAACCCTGGAAGCAATTAGAGAATATGGCACTGTGTCCTGTCATCTGTAGCATCTGTTGAACAGTGAGGGAGTCCAGGTGGGGACTCAGTGCAAGCCTACCTTGTTTCAATATGCTAACTTGGGCACACAGCTTAGACTCCTTGAGTGTCAGCTTCCTCTTATGTAAAGTAAGGGGGTTGGTCTAGGTTCTAGCTAATTTCTAAGCCATTCCCTGATTCTATTATTAACTATAATTTCGTCCTTAACTCTTTTCTTATAAATTACATGCCTGATTCCAGAATCAAAGCATCTCTGGCAACCTAAATCTACCATTTAGAAAAGGGACCCCACTGTGGCTGTCACGATTTGCTGTTCATGTTGTCAATTGTCATCTAAAAAAGTAGTCTTCCTAACTGGGACTTCTGGAATATAAATTGTGGGAAATGATTAAAAAATCCTTCTCAAGATTTTTCTTTGGAGTAAAAATCATATCTCCTTTCCTTGAAATATCTACACTTCAGTCGGGGCAGGGGACAGCGCCGAGATAGGAAATGGGTAGTATTGGAGTGGAGAGGGAGGATATGGTCTAAATAAATAAAAGGTTGAAAAATACCTCCAGTGTGAAAGATCAAAAAAATTATAATTTACCTTAGACAAAGGGATAAATTACTTAGATATTCACCAAAATAATCCCACTACCCCCCTTTCAACAAATTGGGTAGGGAACTGAGGGGGAGCACTGAGGTTACAGCTGCCAGTCTACAGTCAGATAGACTACTCTGCCCCTGCCCATCAGCAGCAACCACACTCTACAAGCCAGTCAAATTTTCCAAGGGTCCTGGTTGTGGTAAAATGTAATATGAGGTTACAATGGAAACTTCTCTGTATCAATAGCTAGAAAAATCCCAGAAAGTACTATAATGAACTGTTCCAAATCCATTTCATTTTTGACATCAATTTATTTTCCCCCAAAACCTGCCTTCTTTCTCCTTTCTTCCTTCGTTTTCCTGCTCAGCTTTTACAAAAAGCAATCCAGATTCATTGTCTCTACATCCTCTCCCCAGTGTAAAGCAGCTTACCACGCCACGCTTGCTTCTCCTGTTCTCTCTCCTACCACTCAGATGAGATATGATACTGAGTGAGACACACAGCCCCCTGACTTCATCCTTCTTACAGTCTACTGGGGGAAACCAGCTAATTCCTTTACAATGCATCTCCTTCCATTACTTTCTTGCCTAGGCAAATGTTACTCCCTCACCATGGAATGAACGCCCACTGCTCTCTTCTTTCCCTAGCAACCACCTATTCGCCTTTTTAGTTGAAGCTCAGATGGCACCTTGTGATGGTTAATATTGTCAACTTGATTAGATGGAAGGATGCAAAGTATTTTCCTTGGTGTGTCTGTGAGGGTGCTGCCAAAGGAGATTAACATTTGAGTCAGTGGACTAGGAGAGGCAGACCCACCCTCAGTTTGGGTGGGCACCATCTAATCAGCTGCCAGCATGGCTAGAATAAAGCAGGCAGAAAAAAAGTGGAAAGAGCAGACTTGCTGAGTCTTCTGGCCTTCATCTTTCTCCCATGCTGGATGCTTCCTGTCCTTGAACATAGGACTCCAAGTTCTTCAGCTTTTGGACTCTTGGACTTACACCAGTGATTTGCCAGTGGCTCTTGGGCCTTCAGCCACAGACTGAAGGCTGCACTATTGGCTTTCCAACCTTTGAGGTTTTGGGACTCAGACTGGCTTCCTTGCTCTCAGCTTGCAGACAGCCTATTGTGGGACTTCACCTTGTGATCATGTGAGTCAATACTCCTTAGTAAACTCCCTTTCATATATACATCTGTCCTATTTGAACTATCCCTCTAGAGAACCCTGACTAATACACATCTCCTCTGTGAAACCTTCCTCTACTCCCTCTGGTAGACTTAAATGCTTGTTTTCCCATGTTCCCACAGCACTTAGTACATAGTCAACATGGGATCAGTAGTCTAGAGGGTTAACTGACCACCCAAAGCACACATTATATGGTCAGTTATTGGTAGGGGTTTTATTTGTTAGTTTGTTTTTGTGCATCTGTTTAATCATTAGGGCAGTAAATTCTGTGAGGGGAACATGTGTTTTCTCTCTGTAGCTCCAGTGCCCAGAAGAGCAAAAGCTACAAACCCCAAAGTCATCTTTGGCTTATGCTTTTCTGTCTTTCATCAAAGTCCTACTTTGATCAAAGTCTTGACATATACCTCAGAAGTACTGGCTCTCTCTACTGCTCTCCAGCCCCAAAGTCACAACCTCATGCCAGCCCTTGTCTTGTCTCACCTGACCTATAACATTCCCCACTTCCAGCCCTCCCCACACTGACTGATCTTTCAAGTTGTCAAAAAAGTGATTTTCTAAAAATAGATCTGATTGTGCAACTTCCCTATTCAGTAGGATAAAGTCTTAACTCCTTAGGATGGCTCCAACTCACCTCTCCAGTCCCATGTCCTACCTCCCCTCTGTAACTTGCCTGTCCCTACCAGCTATTTATTTACTTAATACCTCAGTTACATCACCTGGTACAGGCCACGTTTGCTCATGCTTCCACACCTTTGCATGTGCTCTTCATCCTACCTGAAACCCCACTACCACTAGTCTATTCCCTCTCCTCCTCAAACATACATACAAGCATGCACACACACACCTTTTCCTGGAAAACTACTATTTGGGATAAGAGTCCAGCTCAAATGTTGCCTTCTCTCTGAAGCTTTTCCCGAGTCTGACAGAGTTCATTTGCCACATTTTACCCACATTACTTTGTATTAATGTGCTGCATTTTAATTCTGTCTATGCACCTGTGTCCCTTAACAGTACTGTAAACTTACTGGTACCCATGATATACTTTGTTTATCTTTGTAACGCACACAAGTCATGTAGTACTGACATATAGGAGGTTCTTAATAAATGTTTTTACCACTGCTGAAGATTGTTGTGGGGTCTTCATGCCTGGAACTATGCAAAAATTAAATATAAAACATTTAACCTGAAGGCTGGGGCCACTCACTGGTCTACAGGTAGAGGGAAAGACTAGACAATCCTTCAAGGACCCTCTCAGTTCTAGTCTGATTCTCACAGCATTTACTGAATACCTACAATAGGCCAAGCACTGTGCTAGCTAATTGTTTAAAATCAATCATTTTATTCATTTCTTACAACAAACCTGAGAGGTAGGCAAATTATTTCCATTTCAATGCTGAAAAAAAAAAACTCAGAAAAGACTTGCCCAAGTTCCTGCACTCACTCAGCAGAAGAGCCCCCGCAACCGGCATACAATTCAACAATAAGCCTGCACAACAGGAGGGGAGCCCTTTTTAAGCAGTGAAGGATAGCAACACCCCACTGATTCTCAATGAATGGGAAAGAGCAATCAACTGATAATAAATGAACAAACAGAAATCAAATTATTTTTCCTGTAGCCCAAGTGAGCTCTGGTCTCTGTTGGGATTGAGCCTTATAAAGTGCAAAGCAACTTTAATAAAAACCAATACAAATTCAATCCTAATCATAACTGCAGGTAGAAATATCCCCTACAGGAAGGAGAAAGATTTCAGAGGCAATGAATAAAGCTAATTACTCCCTCATATCATACTTAGCAAAATCCAAAACAAAAAACTAGATGGCCTCCCTTTAATGTTCCCCTGATTCACTACTTACTGTGCTTTGTAACAGCTACCAACTTCCCTGTTTGCCACCTCCTTTCCAGCACTGGCCTCCTGAACTTGTTTTTCACTGACTGATGCTTCCATGCTTCCATGCCTTTGCATGTGCTCTTCATCCTACCTGGAACCCCACTACCAATAGTCTATTCCCTCTCCTCCTCAAACATACATACAAGCATAAGCACATGCATGCACACACACACACCTTTTCCTGGAAAACTACTATTTGGGATAAGAGTCCAGCTCAAATGTTGCCTTCTCTCTGAAGCTTTTCCTGAGTCTGACAGAGTTCATTTGCCACATTCCCCTCATCCTCCGCATTCCCCTCATCCTATGCCATTTATAGCAGAGCCTGACATTGATTCCTTGATCTCACTAGGTTCCACCTGTCCAATCTAAGATGACCCTCCAAAGCTTCTCAAATATATATATATATGTATGTTCAGGCCTTGTGCAGTGGCTCACACCTATAATCCCAGCACTTTGGGAGGTTGAAGCAGAAGGATCACTTGAGCCCAGGAGTTCAAGAGTAGCCAGGGCAATATAGTGAGACCCCCATCTCTACAAAAAAAATTTTTTTTAATTAGCTGGGCATGGTGGCACGTGCTTATGGTCCCAGCTACTCAGGAGGCTGAGGTGGGAGGAACACTTGAGCCCAGGAGCTTGAGGCTACAGAGTTGTGATCATGCCACTGCACTCCAGCCTGGGTAAGAGGGCAAAACCATGTCTCAAAAAATGCATGCACACACACACACACACACACACACACACACACACACACTCAATGGCCAAAACTGGAACAATCTGGGCAATGTATTAAATAATAAATAACCATAGTATTGGATTATAATTCAAGAATAAAATAAATATCCGTGAGCCTATACTGATATAAACGATTGAATAAATAAATGCAGGAGTGAAAAAATTCCTTACAGAAAAATTTCAAATAATAAATGTAAGGGAATGAGGGAAATAGAAAATCACCAATATAACAGGTGATTGCTACAGGCAAGATCTATTGATGAATGCTACAATCAATGGGTAAAATTTTTAGGAAAAAGAGGATAGGCCAGGCGCGGTGGCTCACGCCTGTAATCCCAGCACTTTGAGAGGCCAAGGCGGACGGATCCCTGAGGTAAGAAGTTTAAGACCAGCCTGGCCAGCATAGTGAAACCCCATCTCTACTAAAAATACAAAAATTAGCTGGATGTGGTTGCAGGCACCTGCAATCCCAGCTACTCAGGAGGCTGAGGCAGGAGAATTGCTTGAACCCACGAGGCGGAGGTTGCAATGAGCCAAGATTGCACCACTGCACTCCAGCCTGGGTGACAGAGCAAGCCCCTGTCTCGAAAAAAAAAAAGAAAAAAGAAAAAGAGGATAACTGCATATCCTCAAAATATCTCCCGCCAGATTTACTAATGACTATGGTGCTTTTAACAGGAATCCACAGATTCTTTGATAGACCTCCCTCCAAGAGGTAGAACTCAATTTCTCTTCCCTTGAGTGTGACTGAACTCAGTGACTTGCTTCTAAGGGACAGATCATAGAAAGGGAAAAATATGAATTTTAATGACAAATACCATATTAACTGTGTGATCAAGGTTAAAATCACCAGTAATATGTTGTATGGCTATTACAAGCCCTCTAATCTGATGTGATGAGAAAGGTACATCACTTTTGTGTTACCCTCCCAAAAACTGATAACCTCAGCCTATTCAGGAGGAAACACAAGACAGACTCAAATTGAAGGACATTTTACAAAATACCTGACCATTAGTCTTCAAAAGTGTGAAGGTCATAAAAGACAAGGAAAGACAGACAAATTACCATAAACTTGAAGAAACTAAGGACATAGGGTAACTAAATGCAATGTAGGACCCTGGATTGGATACTGGAACAGAAAAGAGGGTATTAATGAAAAAAAAAAAAAAGTCTATGCAGTAGTTTAGTTAATAGTAATGTATTAATTTCTTAGATTTGATAAATATACCATAATTATGTCTGATGTCAATATTAAAGGAAGATGAGTGAAGGGTACATATGAGAGCATTCTTTATTAGTTTTATAATTCTTTCATAAATAAAATTATTTTAAAATAAAACATTTTTTAAAGTATGACTTTCCTTTTTTCTGCTTTTTGTATGTATTTTACACTTCTATTTAAAAATTGTTTTTAAATTGAGCATGTTTTTCTTCAAAAATCAGAAATAAACAGGAAAATGTTCATTTTTAAAGACCAACTTTTTGGAAAAGGCTCCTCTCAGAAGGATAAATTGCTCTTCATCCTGTACTTCCCCAAAATTTTTTTTGTACTAAAACTCTACTGTAACACTCAGTTTATCCTACTTTATTTTAGAGTTGTTATGCGTCTCTCTTTTTGGCAACTCTACAGAGGCAAGGGCCCTTTTAATCCCACGCAGCACTTAGAATCCAATAAGTGTTAGCTGAGTTTTTGTCATGGAAGGAAACCTAATAAAGGCCAGTCCCTGAGCCAGCCCTGGCTTTGGGACCAGCCTGCCAGATGCTCATTTCTCCAGACCTCCTCTGCACCTGGGACCTCAGCAGGTGTCTGCTCTGCTCTGATGCAGCGTTTTACCAGAGCTCTAAGGCCAATCAGTCCAACAATGATTGAAATCTCTACCATATCTGCTTAATATTGAAAATACATCCTGTATGATGATTGACCCTTAGCAGTAGGCTTCTCATGCTGATGCAGGCATCTTTTAATCTGACTTACATCTCATCGTTTTTCCTCCCTTCTCACTATCCCCTGAGGAAACCCACCCACCACCCGAGCTCCAAAGTAAGCAAGCCCATCTACAACCTGCACGTATCCTCAGAATGTTTCATCCACCTCCCAGTGTTATTGGAATCATGGCTATCCTGTTATGACAGTCCTCTTGAGAGGCTAAAAATCAGAATACACCTACAGTCAACTGCTCTGGCTCACTGCATACCTAACCCCCCCACCCAACACAGGTCAGAAACCAAACTGGGAAAAAAACAAGGGAAATAAAGTGTATCCAAATTCCTTTAGATCTAAAACTTCATTCTTTATAAGAAAATAAGCAAGAGTTCATTTCATTTTTATGCCAAGAACAAACAGTTTTTTGGTTTTGTGTGTTGAGCATCAACCACAGGATTTGCACAAGAACAGGATTCCAAGTTCTGAACTAAGCAAGTGTAAGAAGTGGCAAAGACCAAATTCTAGCCACAACTTTTGGTGCTTTACCACAGTCCTAACATTTGTAATTGGAAATATATCATAGAGTTCCAGAATAGGAAGTTGAGAGGGGAAGGTATACCCTCTGTGGAGCCATAGTTAATGCACATGATGTTTCAGAACCCTTGAGGCTTTAATACTTTTCAAGCCAGGTAAGCAACAACCTAAAGATGGTGCTCTTTGATGCCCTCTTTCAATTCTGTAGGACACAATGGTCTAGTGTGGTTTCAGAGTCACTTGGATGTGCTGAAAGTTAGCTTCTTCTTCCTCTCAGTAAAGTGCAGCTGGTATTTTTCCTTTTTCATCTGAAAACCTTCACTATCATTTGAACAATAAATAACTGGTAGCAAAACCACATACAAGGAGAGAATGCTCATCCCCTGGCTAAGGCAGCCATATATGCTACAATGCAGATTGTGCATTACACACGGGCGCCACTACTAACAGATGTCCTTCACATCACAGATACCACAGATTTGCAAATTAGTGTGACTTTCCAGAAGATGGCAGTTGAAAGTACCCTATTCCAATTAAGTCAATCTATTATGACAATTTCCTAAAGGTGGATGTAAGGTGTTTCGAGAAAGGAACGTCTTTTTCTAATTTTCATAAAGGTGCCACATGTGTTAGTAGCAGCCAAGATTTGATTGTATGCTGTAAGATTGTCTTCTGTTCAGTAATTCTGTCTCTAAATTTTTAAACATCAGTCCACAGTAAAGACTTGCACATATTCCTGACTTTTTTGGCTATTTCTCTAAGAGTTTCCACTTGCAGTAAATCTAACCTCAACTCGATAAACATTTATAGATGTGATATGGGAGAAAAGAACATCATACAAAATAATAATGTATCTAACTAAACAATAACCTTAAAACAGACATGGTTGGCTGAGCTTTTATATATAGAACTCATACCAGCTTTTAAGATGTCTACATTTTCATTTTCCCTGCACAGCAACAGTTCCTCGACCTAGTTTCTCCACTAAAGAGGTCCAATTACGTTACATGGTAAGACTAAAATTTTGTCCTAAATTTAGAATGGAAGAGACTCATTAATTTGCTCTTATCCTTAAAACAAATACACTCTCTGTGTGAACTATATGACAGTGATTTTTTTGTAACACTAAATATGTCAAAAAATATTTGTTGGCAAAAATGACTACACATGGTAAGAGTTCCTATTATGCTAAAAACTAGAAACACATAAATAAATAGAATATGGTCCTTTTCCTCAAGAATTTTATACTTTAGTGGCAAAGAGAAATATATGAAGACATGATTATAATTCACTGTAATATGAATTTTACTAGAGGCATATGTCCGGTGCAAGCATGGGAATGAAGAAGGAGTGTCAACTACATGTGAGGCATCAAAGAAGTTTCCCCAGGAGACAGCACTTGGGCCCATCTTGATAGATGAGTACAAATTAGCAAGTGAGCAAGGCTAGGGGATATAATAGCCTGTGCAAAGGTTTAGGGCATGAAAAATCAAGCGACATGCAGAAAGTCCAAATATGTTTAAATGGTTAAAGCAAGTAGTGCAAGCAGAAGGCATAGAGTAAAGGGAATATGGACAGAACAAAGAGGCAAGAGATGGAACCCATCACATTGCCTGTGGAGGGCTTTTTATGACATACAATGAACTATGAATTGCAACCTGTAGGCAAAGGAGAGTCATTGAAGATTCCCATGTAAGGAAATGATACACTCAGATTTTAGAACCTACCAGCTTTTTAGAATTATTCTGGCAGCAGTATTAAGGGAGTACTGAAGGGAACAATACTGGAAGTTAACCACAGAGCAGATGAGAGATGAGAAACCCCCAGGAAGAAGAGGTATAAGAAGCAAACGCAGGTGTAGACGTGTAGAGGGGGAGATGCCTGTGAGACAAACAGAGGAAGGTCTCTGTATATAGATGTCCAGGCTGAGGATATAAACCTGTGAGTCCGCAAGACATGGATAGTAGGAGCAAGCCCTGGTATGGATGAGAAACCCTAAGGAGAGGACTTAGGCAAAGATTCTTCACCTAGAGTCCTAGGACTGCTGAGGATTCTATGGATAGAATTCAGGAAGTCTGAGAATGTGAAGGGGAAAAAAATATGTTCTTGTTTTCATGAACTAAAATTTCTCTCAATTATTAATACAGGAAACAATTCAAAGAAGTATTAGCAGTACTTGTGATTAAATCACAATACCTGCCAGGTATGGTGGCTCCCACCTGTAATCCCAGCACTTTGGAGGCTGAGGCAAGAGGATCACTTGAGCCCAGAGTTTGAGATCAGCCTGGGCAACATGGTGAAACCCCGTCTTTACGAAAAAAATATATAAAAATTAGCCGGGTGTGGTGGCAGGCGCCTGTAATCCCAGCTACTTGGGAGGTTGAGGTGGGAGGATCACTTGAGTCCAGGAGTTCGAGGCTGCAGTGAGCTGTGATCACATCACTGGACTTCAGCCTAGGTGACAGAGCAAGAACTTGTCTCAAAAAAAAAAAGAAAAGAAAAGAAAAGAAATCACAATACCTGTGATCACCAACAGAAATCTCAGATATTTTCATATCACATTAAAGTTATTAAAGCTATCTTGAAATAGCATTTATACTCATTATTGGTTCAAAATTATGGTAGTTGTTAGGCCCACCACTAGATCTTGTCTATTGTGTTAATAAAAAAGCACAAATATTACTATATCACAATTTTTAGAAATATTTTTCTAATTACATTTCAGCATATTTTGATTTTTTTGTAATTCTATGCATTTCATTCAAAACATTTAGAAACACTGGAGGGATTTAGAGGCCTCCCCGTCCTGCCAGACGGTCTGTGGCACAATTCAAGAACATCTGGGATGAGAACAAGACCAAGAGAGAAAACTTAGGGAACAAACATTTATGTAGTAGGGCTTGGAGCCGGTGAGGGGACTAAGAATAATGAGGTAGAGAGGTAAGAGAAGAACCAAAACACTGCAACATTGCAGGATTTACATACAACAACAGAAAATTTCAAGGATGACATGGTCTATACTATAAGAAAATAAATTATGTAAGTATTGAAATGTTTCCCTTTAATTTACCAATTATAGTTTGTATCAGTTAGAATCCTTCTTCTGTAAGCAACACAGCCATCTAAGGTACGTAAAAAGAAATGTATTGAAGGAATATGAGGTAGATCACAGACTCCAAGGAAAAATCAAAGAATTAGTCCATAGAAAGGACAGGAAATGAGGATGTCCAGGAGAACTAGGGTAGCAAGCAGGAAATGTCACCATCTGTCGTTCCCCTGACTTGTCAGCTTGGCCTGACTCAGGGTCATATGTCCACCCCTGGGCTGGGAGAAAGCAGGGCACCTGAACTGAACTGACAGTTAGTTACACCAGGATCCACAGAGGAGGGCAACTCCCCGGGATGGCATGCTGCCAGAAGGCAAAAGGACACTAGGCAAACAGAAGCACATGTCCACTTCAGGAGGTCCTACTGGCAACCTTATGACAGCAGTTTCAGTGTAAGGGGGCATGAAATCTGGATTGCTTTAGTTTACGAGCTGACTTAAAGTAAGGCAGAGAATCCCACTCTGTCAAAAAGCTTGATTATGAGAAAGAAAAATAGAATAACAATAAGAAAGGAATGCAAGATCAAGGGAGGGTTGAAAGAAAGATTTGAGCATACTTACAGATAGAGGAAAGAGCCAGAGCAATAGGATAAGTTTAAGATCTGGATAAGCCCTGGAAGATGGGTTGAATTTGCATAGAAAGAAATTACCATTGTCGCTTACCATGCCAGGCACTTATTGTGCCAGACACCACGCTAAACAGAATTCATCAGCATTATCTTTTAGTACTGCCAGTTTAGGTAGTATAATTATCCCCATTTCACAGAATGGGGTAGCAAGATTTAAGTAAATTGTCCAAGGTCACACAGCTATAGTGGCAGAGCAGGGAACAGGTAGCTTTCCCTGCAAAAATTGTTACTTTTTTTTTTTTTTGAGACAGGGCTCTGTTCTGTTCCATTGATCTATATCTCTGTTTTGGTACCAGTACCATGCTGTTTTGGTTACTGTAGCCTTGTAGTATAGTTTGAAGTCAGGTAGCATGATGCCTCCAGCTTTGTTCTTTTGGCTTAGGATTGACTTGGCAATGTGGGCTCTTTTTTGGTTCCATATGAACTTTAAAGTAGTTTTTTCCAATTCTGTGAACAAAGTCATTGGTAGCTTGATGGGGATGGCATTGAATCTATAAATTACCTTGGGCAGTATGGCCATTTTCACGATATTGATTCTTCCTATCCATGAGCATGGAATGTTCTTCCATTTGTTTGTATCCTTTTTTATTTCGGTGAGCAGTGGTTTGTAGTTCTCCTTGAAGAGGTCCTTCACATCCCTTGTAAGTTGGATTCCTAGGTATTTTATTCTCTTTGAAGCAATTGTGAATGGGAATTCACTCATGATTTGGCTCTCTGTTTGTCTGTTATTGGCGTATAAGAATGCTTGTGATTTTTGCACATTGATTTTGTATCCTAAGACTTTGCTGAAGTTGCTTATCAGCTTAAGGAGATTTTGGGCTGAGATGATGGGGTTTTCTAGATATACAATCATGTCATCTGCAAACAGGGACAATTTGACTTCCTCTTTTCCTAATTGAATCTCCTTTATTTCTTTCTCCTGCCTGACTGCCCTGGCCAGAACTTCCAACACTATGTTGAATAGGAGTGGTGAGAGGGCATCTCTGTGTCTTGCTCTGTCCACCAGGCTAGAGTGCAGTGGCACGATCTCGGCTCACTGCAACCTCTACCGCCCGGGTTGACGCCATTCTCCTGCCTCAGCCTCCCGAGTAGCTGGGACTACAGGCGCCCGCCACCACACCCAGCTAATTTTTTGTATTTTTAGTAGAGACAGGGTTTCACCGTGTTAGCCAGGATGGTTTCGATCTCCTGACCTCATGTCTGCCCACCTCGGCTTCCCAAAGTGCTGGGATTACAGGCGTGAGCCACTGCGCCTGGCCAAAAAGCCATACTTTTAACAATATTTTTCCTCTTTCTATAAAACCCAGAGAAAGGAGGTAAAGAAGGGTGTACCAATTTGTAGGTTTGTACCAAGGAGGTAGGACATGGAAGGGATTCCTATCACTTAGCTTCACTGTTCTCTATAGGTAAGTGCCAGCCACTGGTGGAGAAATGGGAGGTTGGCACCCCAACTAGAATGGCTATTATCAAAAAGACAAAAAAAAAATGCTGGTATGAATGTGGAGAAAGGAAACCCTGATACACTCTTGGTAGAAAAGTAAATTAGTACAGCTGTTATGGAAAACAGTATGGAAGTTCCTCAAAAACTTAAAAATAGAACTACCATTCCAGCAATTCCACTACTGGGTATTCATCCAAAGGAAATGAAATCACTATGTCAAAGAGACATCTGCACTCCCACGTTTATTGTGTCACTATTCACAATAGCCAAGATACGGAATCAACCTAAGTGTCCATCAATGGATGAATAATGAATGTGGTACACATACGCAATGGAATATTATTCAGCCACTAAAAAATGAAATCTTGTCATTTGCAGCAACATAGATAAACCTGGAGGGCATTGTTAAGTGAAGTAAGCCAAACTCATAAAGACAAATACAACATGATCGCACTCATTTGTGGAATCTAAGAAAGCTGGTCTCATAGAAGTACAGCATAGAATGGTGATTACCAAAGGCTGAGGACAGAGAGAGGGAGGGAGAGATGGAGGGAGATTGGTCAAGGGGTATAAAATCACAGTTACATAAAAGGAATAAGTTCTGGTATTCTATTGCACAGTACAGTGACTAGTTAACAATCTTGTATATCTCATAATAACTAGAAGAAAGGATTTTGAATGCACTCACCACAAGGAAATGATAAATGTTTGAGATGATGGATGCCTTAAATACCCTGATTTAAACAGTACAAAATACATACTTGTACGGAAACATCACACTGTACCCCCCAAATATGTATAATTATTGTATCAATTAAAAATAAAATAAAACCAAAAAAAAAAAGAAATGGGAGGTTGGGAAAGGCACAGTGAAGCTAACCAATGAAAGACTGTTACAATCTGGGCTAGGAATGAGAGAGAACTGGCTATGATAGGAGAAAGGGCCTAGACACCCACCCCCTTCACACACACACACACACACACACACACACACAAACACACACACACACACACACACACACACACAGGGTCTCCCAAGACTACACAAAAGCAGTGCCCACAGCTGTGAAACTCTCTATAGCTTCTACATCAGGGCTATCCAGCAGGCATGGGAGTACTGGAGACAAACCCAAGTTCAAATCACAGCTCTGCCTGTTACAAGGAGAAATGAAAAAATAAAGAAAACCTGTTAATCCAAATAAATTAGATTAGTAATTTATTTGGATCTGAGATCAGATAATCAGTGGTTACCATTCTTATCCTGTCTGAGCCAGAGCAAAGGAATGCTTTTAAATTTTATAGATATAATTGTGTATGTATATATAAACATATACATACACACACATATATATTCAATTTCTATCACTAACAACTTCGGCTAGCTAGCATTCATCAACAAAGATCAACCAGCAACATCTTTCATAATTCTATGTATTTAAAGATTAATACATTTCTTTTCTTAGTCTTTACTAAAAATCTACCATTCCAAATGTTTAGAGCACAGCAGGTAATAATGTTTTTGTTTTTTTTTTTTTTGAGATGAAGTCTTGCTCTGTCTCATCCAGGCTGTGCAGTGGTGTGCAATCTCGACTCACTACAGCCTCTGCCTCCAGGGTTCAAGCGATTCTCCTGCCTCAGTCTCCCAAATAGCTGGGACTACAGGTGTGTGCCACCACACCTGGCTAATTTTGTATTTGTCATAGAGATGGGCTTTCGCCATGTTGGCCAGGCTGGCCTGGAACTCCCGACCTCGGGTGATCCACCTGCCTCAGCCTCCCAAAGTGCTGGGATTACAGGCATGAGCCACCATGCCTGGCCCAGGTAATAATTTTGACTAATATAACACAAATTTAGGAACACCTAAATGATTCTTTTAGACCTCTAGGTTAGAAGAAATGAAAAACTATTTAATGTCTATAAGATATATATCTAAAATGCTTAAAAATAAAGTAAGATGTAGACTCGACAGTTTGATACCTTTGTGGAAGCAATATTCTCTCTCAAACATTTAAAAATCATCTGGAAAATCACTATATTCTGTCTGAAAACCAAGTTCGAGATTCCGGGTTTAGTAGACAAAAAAAATAAGCCATAGGACAGAATGAAAAGCAGGGTTCCAGATTTAAAATATGTACCTACACATCATAGAAAATATCTGGGAAAACATATGCCAAATTGTTAAGCTATTTACCTGTGCTATTAGAATGGGGTAGGCTTGGAGTTCCTACTCAGAGAAGTTCTACTTCTCATCCTACCATCCTCTGATTTTTAAAAAATAAATCTGTATTACCCTGTTAAATCTTCAACTATTTATACATATATATATTTATTTACTTATTCATTTAATACATTTTTTATTTTGTTATAATTTTATATTTAGAGAAAAGCTGCAAAGATAGTACAGAGAGTTCCCATACCTCTCACCCTGTTTCCTCCATTGTTAACATCTCATGTTATCAAGGTACATATGTAAAAAGTATAAAACTGATCTTAGTACAGAACTATTAATTAAACTCCAGACTTTATTTGTATTTCACCAGTTTTTTCATTAATGTCCTCTTGCAGTCCCAGGACCTAATCTTGAGTACCACATCACATTTAGTTGTCATATGTCCTTAGTCTCCTCTGGTCTATAATAGCCTTTTAGGCTTTCCTTGTTTCTCATGACCTTGATAGTCTGGAGGAATACAGGCCAAGTATCCCTAGAATGTCCCCAGTCTCGGTTTATCTGATAATTTTCTGATAATTAAAATGAATTATGGATATTTGAGAAGAATACCATGGAGGTGAAGTAGTACTCTTCTCACCACATCACATTAGGGGTATACAATATCCACACAACATCAATGGTGACATCAACCTTCATCACTTGGTTAGGGTTATACTTACCAGGTTTCACTACTGTAAAGCTACTATTGTTCACTTTCATATCCTGTTTTCTGAGAGCAAGTCACTAAGTCTAGCCCACCCTCAGGAGTGGCTTAAACTCTTCCTCCTAGAAATGGGAGTATTTACACATATTATTTGGAAGTTTCTGTAAGAAAGATCTATCTCTTCTCCTGTTTATCTATTTATTCAATTATTCATTTATATTAGTATACACTCATGTATATTTATTTTATATTTTAACTCAATACTACATTATTTATTAGGTGTGGCCAGTAGAAGCTCTTTCAGCTTGGCTCCTATGTCTCTTCAACAGCTCCATCCTTTTGTTTTTTGAACATTTCCTTACATTCTTGAACTACATGATACTCACTAACACACATCTAAAATGTTTCCCTGCCCCTAGTATTAGCCATTACTTGAAGGAGCCCTGATTCCTTTTATTGATGAATGGTGTATAGCACCAAGGTCTGGGCATTAATGTGTTCCTTCAACTACCCTCAAAGTTTGTTGAAGCTTCGAGTTAGTGTATATCGAGCACTTCCTAACACAGAGCCTGACACATAGTAATCACTCAATAAATGAAAGAATCCATCATTGTTATTATTTTTATGCACATTTGTAATAAATTTGGAATTTCCAGCTGCTAATCCAAAATTGTATCCTATTACTCACTGCATCAAGCCCTGACATGTCCACAGATCTTTCTATATTTCTTTCTATATTTCTGAGGCTAAGGACCACAGAAGGCCAAGAAATAGACGCTCTCCATCCTCTGGACCGGAAGTCTGCATTCTTTCACCATAAAACATTTTCCCTCCTTTCCAAGCATCTATGCAGAACAATGAAATCAAAAGAGCTTTGTGGAAAACATCTCTTGTGATCTTTTAGTTTTTAAGTTTAAATGAAATGTTTTGAAAGGCACTAAAAAGAAAAGAAAAAAAACTCCTATACACAAGTCAAACTCTCTTTGGATCTACAGAGTTCAGTTTTGAATTCCTGTCCAAAATAGCTTTTGTTTTGAAATACTACAATGTCATTGCTTTGGAAATGGCCATTGCCCTACAGATCTATAAAATGCCCCTTTAAACAAATCCTGTACGTCAAACACCAATGTCATTGTTCTTATTGAGTAATAAGTACTAGAGAATCTCTTTTATGAATTATAAACCAGTAACAAAGGTCCTAGAGGGTGATTTAAATGGTGCCTCTACCTCAAGCACTCTGTCTGGTTAGAGGGGCTGCCGGGAATCCCACGGTATAGGAACCAGATGGGAGTACTGAGAGATCTGTGAAAAGGACCCTGGGACTCACAGGCTGGCCTCAGCACACAAGAATAGGAATAAGTAAAAAATTTAGGGCCACTTGGCACCTCTCAGGGAGTTATCTGGGCCCTGCAGAGTGTTGGGTGGGGAGCAATGTGGAAAAAGCACCCTGGTTTAGCATGTATCAGAAGCCTAGAGGGTCCAGGGCAAAAGCACTGCAAAAGAAACACAATGGGGCTGGGCACGGTGGCTCATGCCTATAATCCCAGCACTTTGGGAGGCCAACATGGGTGGATCATTTGAGATCAGGAGTTCAAGACCAGCCTGACCAACATGGTGAAACTCCGTCTCTACTAAAAATACAAAATTAGCATGCGTGGTGGAGCACGCCTGTAATCCCAGCTACTCAGGAGGCTGAGGCAGGAGAATCACTTGAACTCAGGAGGCAGAGGTTGCAGTGGGCTGGGATTGTGTCATTGCACTTTAGCCTGGGCAACAAGAGCAAAACTCTTAAAAAAAAAAAAAAAAAAGAAACAAAAGAAAAGAAAGAACCCCATTCAGACAAAAGTCTTTTGAGTTCTTCAGTATCCACATTCTTCTTACTAAACATTCTCAGTTTGGGATTCCTGCTTTTTACGCCCAGTATCTTAAAATGTGCTAATTTTACACTGGTTATTCTTGCTCTATCCTAAAACCTACATTCTTCTGGGCAAGGCCAGGTGATCCCTGCCATAGGCTGGAACCTCTAAAATCCCATGGTACCTGTCTAGCATATTTCTGGTCTGGCCCACCTTGAACTTCTCACTTTTGCTCCTGGCATGGTCCCACCCAGCTGTGTCTTCCAGGTTCTTGACCTGCCCAGCACTTCATCTGTATCTTACTATCCACAGCAGCCCCTGCCCTTGGGTCATGGCCTTCAGGGTCCATGTGGCTACACACAAATGTCCCTCAGGGCCTAGAAAATGTATCCCGATTTCCTTGAGGAAAAGAGTTATAAGAACTAAAGCAACTGAAGTTACCTTTGGAAAATCTAAGCAAAGCCTCATAAATCTGATACATACTGTCTTTCCTCCCCTCAGGAAGAATTACAGGAGGAACCAGGTCAACAGAAGACACAGATTCCTTACTTTTTAACGTTGGACTATTACTATTAATTAAACTTTAGGCTTTTTAAAAAGTGGCCAAGGGCCAGAGTGCCTCAATCCCAAGAGGTCAGCATTGGAAGTGACCATATAGTCAGGGGCATTGGTATTACAAAGACAGCATGGAATTGAGAGTCATTTACATTTGGGTTCAGTGTCTTATCCCCACTCACAAATTGAAAAACTTTAGGCAAATCATAGATCATAAGCTTCAGTGTCTGTAAAATGATAATCCAATGTTACAAGCTCTGTAATTTATTTTTAAATACTTCATTCTAATTGGTTTGATATATGTGACAATTAATTTAAGTTTCATTTCTAGGCAAAGTCAGCTAAAGCAATGCCTGAAATGTACAGTCCGAAAGTGGGTGTGTGTGTCAGGCAACAATACATCAGAAAGGGGATGGACTCACTCCTACTTCAGTCAATAACCATTACCATTTAGCAAGCTGAAAGTTTAGAAATGGGTTTTACCTGGTGAAATTAAACGTATTCAAGACATATGGGTTAGCTAAAATAATTTAGAAACATGTGTAAGAAAAAAGGGCAAGACTTCTCTGATGCCTCAACTTTGTACCCTTGAGTGATGTTGCCTGAGACTTAATCCCTAATCTGTCCTTGTCTCCAACCATTGATTTAAAAGGATTTCTGATTTACATACAAAGGATGCAGAATCCTAAATAGAGCAAAGCTTTTACTTTTTATTTTTTACTTAATATATAGTTAGAGCACCTAAAACAAAATAGAGCTGAGAGTTCATCAATCTATCAAACAGACTGTATGAAATATTTTGTGCCTGCTTTGCAAATTAATGCTAGTCTAATAAATATCTCTATATGATATTTTGGTCTAAGGCTTGAATTCATTACAGCTTGGTATCAAGCCTATAGAAGAAGTAACTATCACCACCCCAAACTTTTTGGGTGGTTACTGTGATTTCCAAAATGAAGCTGAAATCTGAGTGTAACCAAATTGGCTTAAAGAAATTCTCAATTTCTGGCTGGGTGCGGTGGCTCACGCCTGTAATCCCAGCACTTTGGGAGGCCGAGGTGGGTGGATCACAAGGTCAGGAGATCGAGACCATCCTGGCTAACATGGTGAAACCCCGTCTCTACTAAAAATACAAAAAATTAGCCAGGCGCGGTGGCGGGCCCCTGTAGTCCCAGCTACTCGGGAGGCTGAGGCAGGAGAATGGCGTGAACCCGGGAGGCGGAGCTTTCAGTGAGCCAAGATAGCACCACCGCAGTTCGGCCTGGGTGAAAGAGCGAGACTTCGTCTCAAAAAAAATAAATAAAATAAAACAAGACATTCTCAATTTCCATCCTTCATATCCCACAGAGTTTTTGGGAAGTTACAAGTGAAAGTGCTTGGTAAATTCTAAAATGCAATACAAACATACTGTCTCAGAAAGATGTTTAATTTGTACAACTCAAGTTCCTCCATGGCTCACCAGCCTGGAAGTTCAAATGGAGTAACATTTTTGGTAATGTGCTACATTTCTCTCCATCTTTATTTTAACCTCCTTATCAGAGTCTTAGCTCCCTGAAAACAGGGCCCTAAGTAGAATCTCATGAAGCTCCAGCATGAATTTCACATGTATGCACACTCACTGCATCATGGGCACCTTTACCAGGAAGAGCTGTTATTTCTGGGCACTGCCAGGCCCCTCCCACTAATGCTCTAGAGTAGTGGTCTTCATGATGGGGGACTCATCATAAAGGGGGATGCAAGGCAAACCTTTGGGGTGTGATGAAAATATTAGAACTTCTGTTTAATTTTTATTTTAACCTTTCAGATTTTTACTTCTATATGTTTTGTAAAATATGTAAGACATTAATACATGAGAGAGCTCAGACATTTTTTAACAGATAAATATGTCAATCAAAACAGTTTGGAAACCTCTGGCTTCAAGCATCTGTGGATAGAGGGAAATATGCCTTTCTCCCTCTTATACAATATACTCTCCTGAGGGCTATTGCAGCAGTGGTCTTGTGCTCAAATGACATACAGATTCTTTAGTGGAAGAGCTCTTACATTCAGCCCACTCACCCCTCCCCAGCTTTTCTAGGACTCAGGCCAGAGTCCAGGGAATGGCTGAGACAGGACACTTCCTCATGACCCACATAGAAACTGACATCAGAATCACTCCACCCTCTGGTGATCAGAGCTTACTGTGGCTGACTCCACCTTTCTTAGGATACTTTCTCTCTAGGAACCGCTTTTGACTCTAGTATCAATACACTGATGGGACAGACCACCAACTCATCACAGATACAGGGCAGACATTCAGCAGACATGCCCAAACATGTCTGAGGCTCAGTGATGGAGATAATTCAAGCTCAGATGCTACTGGCTACATCACAGCTGACAGCCTAAAGAAATACTAACCCCTCATTGCTAAGTCATGTAATCATTTCCAAGGCAATTTTTACCTGTACCTGTGGAAAAGCCTTCAGGCAATTTTGTTCCTTGAGAGTTACCCCTGTGTCTGCTTACACATTCAATACCTGTGGGAAAAATGTGAAGTTAACTAGATACAGCATTTTAACACCTGTGTATGTGATAGACTGTGTGAACTGAATCGGTATTAGAGAAGTAAATGCACATTTTAAAATATGGAATTTCCCTTGACAACCTTGTGTTTTAACTATGAATTTTAATATTCATTGGCCCTAAAATCCCTTCTATGAAAACATTTCCCCAAATTAGAAAGGAAGCATAGAAAAAACAAAATTTGATATATAAATATTCATTTTACACAGCCATTTTTTGACATGCCCTTCCAAATCCCATCCAAGCCTCCTCTCTGAGCCTCATCCTAAACACGTACTCTCTATACCATCATTCTGCTTATATATACTCTCTCTCTTTTTTTTTTTTTTTTTTTTTTAAGACAGAGTCTCACTCTGTTGCCCAGGCTGGAGTGTAGTGGTGCTATCTCGGCTCACTGCAACCTCCGCCTCCCAGGTTCAAGAGATTCCCATGCCTCAGCCTCCTGAGTAGCTGGGATTACAGGGGTATGCCACCACACCCAGCTAATTTTTGTATTTTTAGTAGAGACGGGGTTTCGCCATGTTGGCAAGGCTGGTCTCAAACTCCTGACTTCAAGTGATCTGACTGCCTCGGCCTCCCAAAGTGCTGGGATTACATGTGTGAGCCACTGCGTCCAGGCCTCCTTATGTATATACTCTTATACTCCACTTGCTTAACACAGTGGTCACCCATACTCAGGAATGCCCTTATCTATACCCAGCTGAAATCCTCAGTCACTCCTCAAGGCTCAGGTCAGATTTTACTTCCTGTTTAGACCCTGAACCCTGACTGAATTAACTGCACCCTCATCGACCTTCCCATAGCTCTTTGTATTTACTGGGACTAATTAGGTGGTTTTATAATTTCTCTGACTCCCCATTATCTTGCTCAGCTACGTATGTTCTGCACAATCATGGCACAATCATGCCACTATGTAGGCATTAGATCAATGCATGTTGGATTGGTGTTATATTCAGGACACTGCAAGAATCTCTTGGTCTTATAATCACTACTTGTCTGGACAGCTCCCAGAACATCACAGCTAGAATGATGACAACACTGTATGGATGGATCATGGGACATGGCCTTGGGCAATGCCTGATGGCAGGCTCCAGAAAGAGCTTCTAGACATCCATGAGTAGCAAAAGGGACTGGGAACACAGGGAGAGTAGGTCAAACTGCACCTGTCCCCAGTTTCGCACAGGGGCCAGCTCCTTGGGGAATACAACAGCCAGAGTTTTTGCCAGAGGTGCTTCCAATTGCTTGAGGAGACAGACTTACACATGTGAAACAACCTCAGAGTATATGAACAAGTAGTAAATCATGATAAAAAGCATTATTGCTTTAGGAATTCAGAGAACGTTATGACCACAGAGAGCTAGAGAAAAGGCAAAGGTTGTAAGAAGAAACTGGGGTTTTAATGGGGTGTGAAGCATGGGCCAAGCAGAGATACTGCTAGTCTCCCCAGTTCTTTACAGTTGATACAGTTGTTCCTAATTTCTTTTTTTTTTTTTTTTTTTTTTTTTTGAGACGGAATCTTGCTCTGTTGCTCAGGCTGGAGTGCATGGCACAATCTCGGCTCACTGCAAGCTCCTCCTTCCGGGTTCACGCCATTCTCCTGCCTCAGCCTCCCGAGTAGCTGGGACTACAGGCGCCTGCCATCATGCCTGGCTAATTTTTTGTATTTTTAGTAGAGATGGGGTTTCACGGTGTTAGCCAGGATGGTCTCGATCTCCTGACCTCGTGATCCACCCACCTCGGCCTCCCAAAGTGCTGGGGTTCCTGTCTAATTTAAGGAGGAAGCAGGGCAGCTGGAGTAGATTATGGTACAAGACTTACTTGACCACCGATATGCCACAGGTCTGGAATTGGAACAGAAACTCTCCTAAAACCAGGGCAAGGCAGGCTGACCACCAGTTAGCCCTCTGCTTACATTCTGAATAATCTGGGTCTCCACTAACCACTCCAGAGCACCTCCTGTATCCTAGGCACTCTGCTAGGTGCTTTACACACGTTGTTTCTAAGTCTTGACAAGGAAGGTATACTTGACAAGGAAGGTACCGTGAAGAAAATAGGACCCAGAAAGGTTAGGCAAGTTTCCCTGGGCACAGAGCTAGTGGGGGTGGGACTGAGATTTGAACCCAGAAGATCTAACTGGCCCCAAGCCCAAGCTTACCAACATCCTATCTGCCTTCCTCATGGGAAAATCGTCAAGGGGAAAAAAGGTCTTTTAAATTCTCAACGGGAAAAAAGGTTGCTGTTTTGTTCTATTGTGAACATTAGTGTGCATAACAATGCCAGGGTTGTAGGCCATGGAGTTAAAACTGGCTCCTGCCTACTGGAATTAATTCCAAAGACAAATGATAATTGTGCAAAAAAGAAATACATTCTGGTACTGAAGTCAGCACTATGTAATCCCCTTGAATTAGGATGTAGTAACTTTACATATCAATTTGGAGAATTCTCCGATCAGACAGAATTTTATTTCAAAATTAAAAAAAAATAACAAACCCTTTCTGTCTAGGATAACACATCTCTTGTTCAGTAGAGTCTCCATCCAGCGCTGACACTGCATTTTCTTCCTCTCTTTACCACAGTGCACTAGCTACACTGGATACTTGAGGCTGTCCTAGACATGGGCTTTAACAAAGCTGGAAAAGGTTCAAAGAGCAGCAGAAAGATCATGGAGATAGGAGGGGCTTCATGAGAAAATGTCTAATAATATCAGTTGTATGGTTTAGAGAAAGGGAAGGCAGGAAGTAGAAGAGCATGACCTAGATCTATCACACAATCAAAAATTATATGGGGTGATCTTAAGCTCATTTTTACCAAATCCCAGTCACTTAGAAACAAAACAGAACTTGGTGACTCAACAGGACTTAGGTGAGGGTAGACATGGAAGAGAGGGCTTAGGATGACTCCCAGTCTCCACCCTAAGGGCAGGGACTGAAGACAATTCTTAATTCCAGACAGGAAGTTCAGAAAGGATGAGATCATTTCAGGTGTGCTAAGTGAAAAGTGCCTGTGGAAGATTCAGGAAAAGACATACAGAAAGCAGGAGAAATACAAGTCTGAATCTGGGAGAAAATAATCAGAGGCTAGAAATCTGAATTTATGAGTCATCAGCACATGGAAATAGAAGAAGCCATCAACAAGCATAGATCATCCAGAGAAAAGGTAGAGACTCAAAGATTTGTCCCTTCCAGTCTGGTACCAGACTCATGGACTCAAGAGAGTTATTTTATTTATGTATTTATTTTCAGAGACAGGGACTTGCTCTGTCACCCAGGATAGAGTGCAGTGACATGATCACAGCTCATTGTAGCCTCAGACACCTGGGCTCAAGCAATCTTCTTGCCTCAGCCTCCCTAGTAGCTGGAATTACAGTTGTACACCACTACGCCCATCTAATTTTTTACTTGTTTTTTAGGGACTTTTTTGCTCAGGCTGGTCTCGAACTCCTGTACTCAAACAATCCTCCCTCCTGAGCTTCCCTAAAATGATGGCCAGGCCTGAGCCACCACATCCAGCCTGAGAGTCATTTTAGACAAAATAAAACATTATTCTGGGAGCCAGGGGCATTCTTCTCAGCAAGCTTGAGAGGCAGGCATTATCATTTTTATTTTACAAACAAGGACACTGAAGCTCAACAAAACTCAGCAACTTGCCCATGGTCACAATGTTGGCAGTATAGAAGCAGAATTCAATCCCCAATCTATCTTTCACCAAGGACCCTGTGTGCTCTTTGCACTACTTCACTAGTTCATTTAGGGACTGGCTCTCATCACTGAGTTATAAAAATAGTAAAGACTAACATTGCTATGATAATGAACAAATTATTGGAAACTGTTATCAAAGTATCATGAAACTGTTAATATTTGGCCATTTTTTGACAACAACAATGGAAATTCCATACCGTTTGACCTAACAACAGCACTTTCACTTATATTTTATGTGAATGTCTACAGCAGCAGTGTAAATTTCTAAAGAAATTCTATACCCAATAGGAAGGGTAGAGGGGAACCAAATACTTCACCCAACTCATTAACAGCAAAAATATGTTGTGGCTAAAAAGAGAAAAAACAAATAGAAACACAAATTTGCAAGATAAGGAAACTCTAAAAAAATTTTCTTGTGAAAGATAATAGCTTGTTAGTTTAAGCGAAACTTTATGTGTTGACTTTAGGTTGACCACCAAAAGTATTATGAAATATAAGCTAATAAAACACACAAGTGTGAAATATAAATGGTATATAAATACTATTGTCTGAATGTTTTGCGTTCCCAAAATTTATATGTTAAAATCCTAACCCCCAAGGTGATGATATTAGGAGGCAGGGCCTTTGGGAAGTGATTAGATCATAGGGTGGAACCCTCATGAATGGGGTTAGTGCCCTAATAAAAGAGGCCCAAGAGAGACTCTTTATCCCTTCCATTATGTGAGCACACAGCTAGAAGGTACCAGCTGTGAACCAGAAAGTGGACTCACCTGACACCAAATCTTTGGTACCTTGACCTTGGACTTCCCAGCTTCCGGAACTGTGAGAAATAAATTTCTGTTGTTTACAAGCAACCCAGTTTATGGTATTTTGTTATAGCACTCCAAATGAACTAAGATAATAAATTAAAATATGTTTTCAGGTACATGAGCACACTAAGGAAATTTAAAATACTCTGTGGAACAGATTTTTGGAAAATCCTAAGACTAAACAAACAATGGAGAAATATGGAGAACCCTGTAAATGAGGCATAAAATACTAGAGCTATCAGGAAACAAAAATCATTTAAATTTTACCCTTTTGTTTTACTGTGGAGGAAACCAAGATTCAGGAAGAGTATGTCAGCAGGGACTAAAAATTCAGGTGCCTTACTCCCAGTCCAGTGCTCTCTGAAATAGATTAGAATAACATGCTATTTGAACACAGTAATGTATTTGTACATTGCAACTGACCATGCCATATATTGCAGATGCAAGAAAATTTTCATGAGGTATAATTTTTATTTTGTAGCATAAGGTTGTTGAAAGTATATTAAATATGTTTTATTTAATATATTAAATAACATTTAATAAAAACAAATATGTTTTATTATCATAAAATAAAAACACTGAGTTTTAAATTTTAACAGCATTACTTTTTCTTATTCAGCTTGTTATGATTATGGTATAACCAGAACACTGCCTTCTCCCAAGATGTCTTTCTACTGCTTTTGGATATTGCTTGTCTTTTTAAAGAAAAAGGCATTCTAAAAATAGGATACTGTCAAAATGGTTTGAATTTCAAGGAAAAAAAAAAAACCCTAACACCTGCTCCCTGAGAAATAAATACTCAGTTCAAAAGTATGACATTTAGAATATGCCTTTGGTACAAAATTCAGCTGCAGATATCCACTTCAAAGATTGTTTTGAATCTAATTCAAAATAAGTATAGAATTAGGCTCTCTTAATTATTCCTTCATTTATGAAGCTGTATGTTCTTCATGAAACAACTGTATCATTGTGTTCCTGTGCTTTGCTCTATTTCTCATTAGAGCATTTTTAATAGCAACAGAGAAGGGCTGACTGTCATGGCTTATCACTCTCCCTATCTGAAACTTTCATCAAAGAGTCTTTCAAATTCCACCAATCCATCAATCTGAGATTTACAGCTGGGGATTCATGATTTAAAGGAGAATAAATAACCCTGTTCCTGAAGGGGACCCAAATTCACTAAAGAGAGAAAGGAAGAGACAACCACCAGTAAAAGAATCAATGTATCTTTCAAATGACCTGTGAAACCCCAGCTTCCTCATAGAAACCCTTTAGAGAGGAGGACATCAGAGCTTCCCAGGCAATATCCCTGCTTCCAATAGAAGAATTTAGAATAATTGGATGGTACATGATACCCTAACCATCAGCCACAAGAATTTCTTGGCATGCTATCTGGAATAGCAAGAATAACTCAAGGGTGTTTATACCTTGAAAAGGACCACTGCAAAAGAGAGTTAATTTTTTATTACTGAATACAATCATGTGGCCTCCTCTCACAGGGTTATGTGGATTCATTTACTCTCGTAACAAATGTTTATTGAGCACCTACCATATGCCAGGCACTATTCTGGGAGCTAAGGAAACATCAATGAACAAAATAGACAAAAATCTCTGCCCTTATACAAGTTATATTATACCAGGGAGAAACAAACAAACAAGTAAAATGTTTAGTTTGCAGAAGGTGATAAGTGTTATGAACAAAATTTAAGCAGAGACAGGAAATTAAATGAAATAATATATATGCTTGACACAGTATAAAT